>NC_000003.12:104614664-104917695 GCF_000001405.40 Homo sapiens | reverse complement strand
GGACAAGATGCAGAGAGAGAGCAAGAACGCAATTACAAAGCAAGCCCTTTCTCCCATGGGCCACTTGAAATGGGTTGAGATTTTCTGTTATCTTTGATTTACCCATTAAGTTGAAGCATTATCCTTTTTCTGGAAGATCAGAGCATGGAGCCAAAGTGGCCATATTTCATGATGTATACATTGATCCAGGATAAGAGATGTAGTGAGAGAAGAGAATGGCCTTTTCCTCTAAGTGGATGGTAAGATTGAGAAATCAGACTGCTACTGAAACACTAGTATTAATGACATTAAGAAACTAAATACTACTACTTTATTATTTGCATCCAACTACTCAGTTTTACCCAAGGACATACCACAATGTAATAGCATTTTACAATTATGCCTTTTCCTCTCTCTAGTATGAGACACATTCACCATCTTTTCTAATTAATCCTCTTATAGCCATCCTTCAGAATTCTGCTTAAAAAATACAGCTGCAATGACGTCTACTAATATCCTTTATAAAGTGTAGGCTTTTTATGGGTTATGGCTCTGTTGTTGGTTTATTTAATCTTGGTATCTGAAGAATGTGGCCTATAAATATTTATCTAATGCATACATCCTAAGAACTTCAAATATTTTTGTTTCACTGAAAATTAGTTTTACTACTTCTAACAAAATGTTCAAGCTACATGTATATAACTTTGACTTAAGTAATCTGAACAAATTCTCTTGAAGTAAATATTCTCATTTAAATGCAACTTAATGTGACAACATTTCCTATTTTTATTTTTTATTTTTTAAGTGTAAGTACATTAGTAAAGGACTTGTTCAATTCAGTCTATCAAACACTTTAAACAATTTTACTAGAGGCAGATCTGCTCTCCTTTGGATAATTTCTGAAACTAAAATGTTATAGAAGTAGGCTTTATTAGCCTTTATTGCATAGGAATGAGGGCATGTTTTTCTTTTTGTTGCCGTTGTCATTAGTCACAGCTAACACAGTTCCTGATCTTTTAAAAGCTACATTTATTTTTATTTTGCAATTAACATGCTGTATTGTTGAAATTTAACCATGACTCTTATGTGTAAAGCAATCTATTCCATTTAATAAAACTCCTGAAATTTATTCTTTTCTGTTGGGTTGTTGTAAAATGCTGTTAATGAAGTCTTTAATGAGAGATTGAGAGAGACTGAAATAAGGGAGGGGGATTGAAGATAACAGGGATATATACACTACTCTTTTTCCTCAGCCTCCATATTCTTTCTTCATGTTATTGACTACATGGTGAGAAACTCAAATCTTAACTTTATTACTTTGATCCTGATAAAGAATCTGTTCACTTGTTTATGAACCTAATGTTTTGAAATGGTTTGATGTCTGCAAAGTACTAGTGAGTTTAGACAAATCAAAATTAGGACACATTACCTTCATTTAGCTAATCTGTAGAGCATTTACTATATGCCTAGTTTGGTAATCTGTTACTGTCAGTCATTAATCCAATATGTTCAGCCTTCTTCAAATATCACCCATCTAAACCCTAAATGAAGAGTTGACCTTTATAATAATGGCAACATCTGCTTCAAAGAACGAGATGTACTTGAAGATTATGGATTTTCTGGTTTGAGGGGTTGTTTTGTTTCTTTGTTCAGTTGATTGATAGCCTGAGCAAGCAAATGCTATGTTTAGTGAAAGCACATAGAGGTTAGAGGTTTCACACTGTGAGATGCTTAGGTAGCTGACGTAACTTTGTCTTTAGGTCTAATTCTAAGAGAATCATTAGGTTCTGCAGGAGTAGGGACCGTATTCTTATCGGGCAACATAATATTTATAGCATTTAGCACAATATGTATAAAGATGAAAAAAGAAGATGAGAAAAGAGATTACTGTAATCTATTTTTTAATTGAACAATTTTCTTAAGCCAGAAAAACTTTTAATTTACTCTTACCTAATTTAATGCCTGAAACAATTTCATAAGTTAGATTTTATTATTTTTATATTATGGATGAACACAATAGGCTTAAAGAAATTGAGCAATTGTCTAATATTACATTGGAAATAAGTGTCAGATAAAGATTTTGAACCCACTTTTACTTGACTGCAAAGGTCAGAGTATTAAATCAGTTTACTACAGTACTTCCTTTAGTGTTTTCCCACTAACTCTGAAAGTTTTTTGGCTAAAGGAAATAAACTTTCCTTTTTTCTCTTTCTTTTCTACTGCCTCTTCTCTTATTTCGTTCAACGTTTATTGACACAGGTAACTTTGTTCATTTATTTTACCAGGTCTACAGGATTCCAATATAGGGCATACCATAATTTACTTTCAGAGTCTCATGTTGAATATTTAGGTTGTTCACATTTTGTTTTTCTAATAGAAATTAATGCTTCAGCGAATAATCTGCACATTTCTTGTATGCTGTGTGAGTTTCACAAGGATATATACATATATGTGATATTTCTGGTCTTATATATGTATACCTGCCAGTTATTTCTACATTATTTCATAATGGAGTTGGAGCAATTTTTACTACAACTAGGGATGCATGAGAATTTGTACCTTCTATTGTTTGTTGGTATTTGAAATTATCACATATTAGTTATCTTGCCAATTTGCTGAGTGCTAAAGAGCATTTTCTGGTTATTTGAATCTACATTTTCTTTAGATTGGGTATGATTTCATCTGTTGACTGGTCATTAGAGTTTCCTCTTCTGTGAATTGTGAATTTGCCCTTGTTTTCTTCCATTTAGTTATTTTAAAAAACTACATTGTATTTTTATATATTCTGGATACCAATTCTTTCCCTGTTATATATTTTTGAAGAATTTTCTTCCAACCTGTGTCTTGAAATTTGTTTTTTAAATTGTGTCTTATTATGGTACAGAATTATACATGTACTGTCGTCAAATTTTCATTTTATTTATTCTGTGATCTGTGCTTTTTTTGTTTATCTTAAGAAATCTATTTTTGCACCGAGCCTTAAAATAATGGCTGTATTTTGTTATAAAATTTTAAACATTTATATTTTTACTTTTGGGCATTTTCTACAAATGGAATTCATGTTTTGTATTTGCAATGAGGTAAAGATCTAATTTCTTTTCTTTTTTTTTTTAAATTTTTTGAGACAGAGTCTTGCTCTGCCGCCAGGCTGGAGTACAGGGGTGCGATCTCAGCTCACTGTAACCTCTACCTTATGGGTTCATGCAGTTCTTCTACCTCAGCCTCCCGAGTAGCTGGGACTACAGGCATGTACCACCACACCCAGCTAATTTTCATATTTTTAGTGGAGACAGGGTTTTACCATGTTGGCCGGGATGGTCTTGATCTCTTGACCTCATGATCCGCCCGCCTTGGCCTTCCAAAGTTCTGGGATTACAGATGTGAGCCACCACGCCCGGCCTTCTTTTCTTAAATATAGATATACATTCTTGTCTCACCCAACTTTCTTAACTAAATGAACACTTCGGCTCTAAATTCATTAAACTTCTTTCAAGTGGGCCCTGTTTCCTTCTTGCCTCTGCTTATTCAGCCTCTCCAAAATCACCTGGGGACCACGGTACTGAGACACACACTTCAAGATAGCGGTTCTTAACCTGGGAAGTGGAGGTTGTAGTGAGCTGAGATGGCACCGCTGCACTCCAGCCTGGGCGACAGAGTGAGACTCCGTCTCAAAAAAAAAAAAAAAAAAAAAAAGGGACGGGTTCTTAGACTCATAATGACATTTCTAAAACTGATTAGTTTCTTATTTTAGCCATGGACAAAGAGCTATAGGCACTGAAGAGAATATAGCAGACCTCCAATCTGAAATACAGTTCATCATATGTAATAAGTAAAGTCACTTCACCTCTTTAAGAATAAGTTTCTTAATTCTTTTTCTTTCAACTTTTATTTTAGATGCAGGGGTTATATATGTGCAGATTTATTACCTCGGTATATTGCATTATGCAATATACCCAGAGGGGTGTAACTGATCCTGTCACACAGGTACTGATCATAATACCCAACAGTTAGTTTTTTCAACTCTTGTGCCCATCCCTCTCTCCCCCATGTAGTCCCCAGTGTTTATTGTTGCCGTCTTTATGTTCATGCATAGCCAGTGTTTAGCTCCCAATTATAGGTAAGAACATGGAATATTTGATTTTCCTGTGTTAATTCACTTAAGATAATGACCTCTAGCTGCATCCACGTTGCTGCAAAATACATGATTTTATTCTTTTTTATGGCCACATAACCAGCCATAACAACATAAAATATTCCATAGTATATGCGGTTCTTTAATCCACTGTTGATGAGCATCTAGGTTGATACTATGTCTTTGCTATTGTAAGCAGTGCTGCAATGAACATGTGAGTGTATGAGTCTTTTTGGTAGAATAATTTGTTTTCATTTGAGTATATGCCCAGTAATGGGATTGATTGGTCAAATGGTAGTTCTGTTTTAAATTCTTTGAGAACTCTCCAAACTGCTTTCCACAGAGGCTGAACTAATTTACATTCTCATCAACAGTGTATAAGCATTCCCTTTTCTCCACAGTCTTACCAATACCTGTTGTTTTTTGACTTTCTAATTATAGCCATTCTGACTGGTGTGAGATCTTATCTCATTGTGGTTTTTATTTGCATTTCTCTGATGATTAGTGATGTTGCACATTTTTTCATGTTTGTTGGCTACTTGTATGTCTTCTTTGAGAAGTGTCTGCTCATGTCTTTAGCCCATTTTTCATAGGGATTATTATATATATATATATATATTTTGCTAGTCAAGTTGTTTAATTTCCTTACAGATTCTGGATATTAGACTTTTTTTGGATGCATAGTTCTTGAATATTTTCACCCATTCTGTTGGTTGTCTGTTTACTCTGTGTCTTTTGCTATGCAGAAAGTGTGTTTTGCTGTGCAGAAGCTCTTTAGTTTAATTAGGTGAAGCCAGCATCACCCTGATACCAAAATTTGCCAAGGGCACATCAAATAAAAACAAAGCAGCAGGCCAATATCCCTGATCAACATAGACACAAAAGTTCCCAACAAAATACCAGCAAACTGAATTCAACAGCACATCAAAAAGTTAATTCACCATGATCAAGTAGGACTCATTCCTGGGATGCAAATTTGTTTCAACATGCACAAATCAATAAACGTGATTCACCACATAAACAGAAAGTTTTCAAAAAATTATATGGTCATCTCAACATACATGAAGAAACTTTTGATAAAAATCCAACATTGTAGCTCACGCTTGTAATCCCAGCACTTTGGGAGGCTGAGGCACGTGGATCAGGAGGTCAGGAGATCGAGATCATCCTGGCTAACATGGTGCAACCCCTTCTCTACTAAAAATACAAAAAAGTGGTCGGGCGTGGTGGCGGGTGCCTGTAGTCCTGAGGTGCCTGGAGGCTGAGGCAGGAGAATGGTGTGAATCTGGGAGGCAGAGCTTGTAGTGAGCTGAGATCACGCCACTGTACTCCAGCCTGGGAGACAGAGCAAGACTTCATCTAAAAAAAAAAAAAAAGAAAAAAAATTCCAACATCCCTTCATGATAAAACCCTCAATAAACTAGGCATTGAAGGAACATACTCCAAAACAATAAGAGCCATCTATGACAAACCCACAGTCAACATCATACTGAATAAGAAAAAACTGGAAGCATTGCCCTTGAGAACCAGAACACAAAAATGATGCCCACTCTCAACACTCCTATTTAACATGGTACTGGAAGTCCTAGTCACAGTAATCAGGCAAGAGAAAGAAATAGAAGGCATCCAAATAGGAAAAGAAGTCAAAGTATCTCTCTTTGCAGAAGATATGATTCTATACCTAGAAAACCCTAAACACTCTGCCAAAAGGCTCCAGGAACTGATAAACGACTTCAGTAATGTTTCAGGATATAAAATCAATGTACAAACATCAGTATTTCTATTAACCAATAACAACATTCAAGCTGAGGGCCAAATAAAGAACACAATCCCATTTATAATGCCCACACCAAAAGAAAAAAGTCTTAATTCTTAGATGTGACAACTGAATTGGTTGAGCTTTACTTTCAATTTTCTCTTATGAAAGCTTGGTTTATCCAGTTCAAGTATCTAAAGAGAGTGAGGATCTTTGCTCTATAGTGTCATCATTTAGTGGAAACTTTCAAAACCACACACACACATGACTTCAGAAACCTTGTAAAGGAGAGTTGGTGAGATACCCAAAATCTCTTTTCCTCATATCCTCGTTAGTTCTTTTAGGGCATTTCTCCCTTTGCAGCTGTAGTGGTTCTTAGCTGTGGCAGGAGCAAAATCCCCTGGAGTGCTTTAAAAAGTTTCTATTATCTGGGCTCCACCCCCATAAGTAAAACAAACTACAGAATGAGGGGGAGATGGTGATGTAAAGTTTGGACATTTTTTAAAAAGTTAGCCAGATAATTCTGATGCACAGAGAAAATCGAAAAGCATTGAATTATAAGGTACTGATGTGTCTTTTAAATGTACTCCATGTGGGCTTCTTGAAAACACTAGAAAACATAAAAATGCTGAGCTAATTTGCAGCATCAGTCTTTTTTCCTCAGAGTTATTCACAGTTTTGGAATCCTCACATTTAAGACAACTTTTTTTTCCTCTCCATTTACACCAAATAATATAAATTCTAAATTTCTGATCTCCCTTGCCTCCTCTTCTTATTTTGTTCAACTCACTTATTTTCTTTTTTTTTTAAAAAAAAGTCCTCATGGCTTATTTTCTTTAGCTACTACAGATATGTTTGAATGTCTACATATCAATTATATACACACCTCTGGGTCACACTTTTAAAACATTTGTTTTTTTTTTTTTGAGACAGGTTCTTGTTGTGTCACCCAGGCTGGAGTGCAATGGCTCAATCATAGCTCACTTCAGCATTGACCTCCCGGACTCAGGTGATCTTCCCATCTCAGCCTCCCAAGTAGCTGGGACAACAGGTGCCCGCCACCATGCCTGGCTAATTTTTGTAATTTTTTTGTAGAGATGGGGTTTTGCCATGTTGCCTAGGCTGTTCTTAAACTTCTGGGCTCAAGCAATCCTCCCACTTCAGCCTCCCAAAGTATTGGGATTAGAGGCATAAGCCAACACACTCGGCCTGAAATACCATTTTAAAAATCACTAAACTTCCACACTCACACTCTTTTTGTAAAATACTATGTAGAGGCCAGGCACAGTGGCTCACGCCTGTAATCCCAGCACTTTGGGAGGTTGAGGCAGGCGGATCACGAGGTCAGGAGATCGAGACCATCCTGGCTAACGTGGTGAAACCCTGTCTCTACTAAAAATACAAAAAAATTAGCTGGGTGTGGTGGCGGGTGCCTGTAGTCCCAGCTAATCGGGAGGCTGAGGCAGGAGAATGTCGTGAACCCTGGAGGCGGAGCTTGCAGTGAGCCGAGATTGCGCCACTGCACTCCAGCCTGGGAGACAGTGCAAGACTCCATCTCAAAAAAAAAAAAAATGCTTTGTAGAACTCAGAGAGTATTATCCTATTAAAACATGACAAGTGATTTTCAGTTTATTTCATTGGACAAATACTAAGAGAAGATAGTATTTTCAAAACCCTAATCTGGCGTGCCTATTAGAGAAGAAAGATTGGAAAAAATAACATTTGTTTTTCCTCTTCATCAGTTTTCAACCTTGGCCTTTAAATTATGATTTAAGAGTCCCTCCTCTCGAGAGATGAGTAGTTTCCTCTGTGGAGTAATCAAGCATCAGAGGAGCCTGAGCGTAATGTTAATGTTCTGAGTGCTTCTGAAGTGACAGGAAGTGGTGCATATGCCCAGGGACAAAGCCAAGTTGAGGAGCAGAACCACAGTAGCTTGAGGAAGGAATAGGTGAGAGGTAAGTTTTCCCCATAACTGATGTTTTTAATATTACTGGCTCACGTCAGAGGGATGCCTCAGCATTTGTTGCAGTAGCACATGGTCGGCTATATTTGCTCATCTGGCTGTCTCTTGTGAGTGAAATGAAACATAAAATGATATTATGATTCTTGATCTTTAATGTAATTCTTGACTCATCAATGGCTCTTTATTATTGCCTTTTGTTTAAAAGTACCCCAAAGCAATGCAGAAGGGAAAACCTGATTGGAAAAGAAAGCAGAGTTTATAGGGTCATATGAGGCACCTTCTCTGTGGATTTGACTAGTCTCCTCACCATTGCTCCTTCACCAAAAACTTGGCAGGTGGTTAGAAGCTCCTCATGTTGTGTTCTGCCTCATAGCAGGCTGTCTATTTGGCTCTTCCTTCTGCTCAGTCAGACATATCAGCAGAGACAATGGCATAACAGATGCTGATATTCAGCCTGGATCAGCCTATGTTGATTTTATGCTTATTAGTCTGAGCTAGTCACAGCCAGCTGGTTGCTGTTTGCCTTGACTGAGCAGTAGAAATATGCACAACTGCAACGGCCTCTTGTGTATATACACCCAGGTGCTGGCTGCCATAACAATCCCTCCCATAACATGAAGGGTATTTTGGATTTATGTATATTTTTGCCTTTTTCAAAATAAAATTTCTTTTAGTATTGGGACAGGCACACTGATGGAAAAGTCAGGACCCAGTTTATAAAAAAGATTTATAAAAAAAGAGTCCCAGTATTTGCTTCTGTGGTACTGGAGAAAGAATCTAAAGTTTAGTTTGGTTTGCTTATTCATTTCCTCCTAATAGCAGTGAGAAGCCAGTACGGATTTTTAAAGACCCATAAGCAAGCTGCCTTTTAGGCATAGCAGATAAAATGTTTCCTGGGCAGCCAGGTGTCATGCTGTTTAGTGCTTCAGTATTCACAACTTACTCTTTTACTGGTCCCAGGAGTGAAGTGTTTTGAACTGGCCAGTAAGCACTGGGGGCTTGCTGTGACCTGCCCCACTTTGCAGCTAGGAAGCTGCCTGAAGGTTTCGGGCATTTTCCTGTGTAATATTGAAGAGAAATGTAGAGTCCTTTTCAGGGTTGCAATTTAGTTCTTTGGTCTAATTCATATTTTTGTGATGATTTATAAAATGTTTTCAATTTTTTTAAAGTTTTTAAATAGTCTAAATAGTCTATATTCTTTTTCTACTGCCTTCATCTTCAATGAACATTTTTTTTTTCTATATACTCCCTCCTTGGAACTACTTACATATCTTTTCTATCCATTTATTTTTTATTTTTATTATTTTTGTTTTTATTTATTTATTTGTTTGTTTGTTTATTTTGAGACGGAGTCTCACTCTGTCCTCAGGCTGGAGTGCAGTGGCGTGATCTTGGCTCACTGCAACCTCTGACTCCCTGGTTCAAGCGATTCTCCTGCCTCTGCCTCCCAAGTAGCTGGGATTACAGGCACGTGCCACCACGCCCAGCTAATTTTTGTATTTTTAGTAGAGACGGAGTTTCACCATGTTGGCCAGGATGGTCTCGATCTCCTGACCTGATGAAATGCTGGCCTCGGCCTCCCAAAGTGTTGGGATGACAGGAGTGAGCCACTGCGCCTGGCCTCTTCTACTCATTTATATTGAATAAATAATGTTATTTTTCTAAGGCAAGTATATTTAATATTCTCTTCATATTCATATTCTCATGAAATCACATTTAAAAGAAATCTGTAGTGGCTGAGCATAGGACTGTTTTCTGGCCTGCTCCTTAATTGCCATTAGATATAACCTAGGTATGGGGAACAATATTTGCTCTCCGTTCTGGTTTAGGAAAAATATTAGAGATTATTAAAGTATGAAAATATCTTTGTTCTACATTTTAGCGAGTGCTTTGGATAAAAATGTAGTGTTTATGCTTATCAAATTTGTGAATGTCCTATAAATATAAGGAATAACAAATATATTTGGTGTCAGAATCAAAATGTGAGATAAGATCAACAGACTAGAATAATGGACTAAAATTAGTAATTCCTAACTTGGTAAATGTAAAGTGAAATTCTTCATTTGGATTCAGAAAGATCAATTGCTTAATCTCAGTATAGGAATGATCTCAATTAAGAAGAATTCAGATTAAAAATAATACATACATGGTAAGCGAGTCACCACTTCCCTTTCCTTTGCCCATGCTAGAGATTTCTAACAGTCATAGTGTGTCCGAAACTGGTGTGTTTTTTTTGAGATAGAGTCTGGCTCTGTCACCCAAGCTGGAGTGCAGTGGCGCGATCTTGGCTAACTGCAAGCTCCGCCTCCTGGGTTCCTGCCATTCTCCTGCCTCAGCCTCCCGAGTACCTGGGACTACAGGCGTCCGCCATCACACCCAGCTAATTTTTGTATTTTTTAGTAGTGATCCACCTGCCTCGGCCTCCCAAAGTGCTGGGATTACAGGCGTGAGCCACCGCGTCCAGCCAATTGGTGGGTTCCTGGTCTCACTGACTTCAAGAATGAAGCCACGGACCCTCGCAGTGAGTGTTACAGTTCTTAAAGATGGTGTGTTCAGAATTTGTTCCTTCTGATGTTCGGACGTGTATGGAGTTTCTTCATTCTGGTGGGTTCGTGGTCTCTCTGGCTTCAGGAATGAAGCTGTAGAACTCTGCGGTGAGTGTTACGGCTTTTAAGGTGGTGCGTCTAGAATTGTTCGTTCCTCCCATTCATAACTGTTGATTCCTCTCAGTGGGTTCATGGTCTCGCTAGCTTCTGGAGTGAAGCTGCAGACCTTTGTGGTAAGTGTTACAGCTTATAAAAGCAGTACGGACTTAAAGAGTGAGCAAGAGCAAGATTTATTGCAAAGAGCAAAAGAACAAAGCTTCCACGGTGCAGAAGGGGACCTGAGTGGGTTGCAGCTGCTGGCTGGGGCAGCCTGCTTTTATTCCCTTAGCTGTCCCCTCCACCCCCACATCCTGCTGATTGGTCCATTTTACAGAGAGCTGATTGGTCCATTTTACAGAGAGCTGATTGGTCCGTTTTACAGAGAGCTGATTGGTCCGTTTTGACAAGGTGCTGATTGGTACATTTACAATCCCTGAGCTAGACACAGAGTGCTGATTGGTGCATTTACAATCCTCTAGCTAGACATAAAAGTTCTTCAAGTCCTCACCAGGTTAACTAGACACAGAGTGCTGATTGGTGCATTTACAAACCTTGAGCTAGACACAGGGTGCTGAGTGGTGTGTTTACAAACCTTGAGCTAGACACAGAGTGCTGACTGGTGCATATACAATTCTCTGGCTACACATAAAAGTTCTCCAGGTCCCCACCCGACTCAGGAGCCCACTAGGCTTCACCTAGTGGATCCAATGCCAGGGTTACGGGTGGAGCTGCCTGCCAGTCCTGTGCCGCACCTGCACTACTCAGCCCTTGGGTGGGCTTGATCCACATGGGAGCCCACCGCGGGGGGCTTGGGCATGGCAGGCTGCAGGTCCTGAGCCCTGCCCCACAGGGAGGCAGCTGAGACCAGGAGAGAATTCAAGTGTGGTGTGGGCGGGCTGGCAGTGCTGGGGGACCCAGCGCAGCCTCCACAGTTGCTGACCCAGGTGCTAAGCCCCTCACTGCCTGGGGCTGGAGGTGCCGGCTGGCTGCTCCGAATGTGGGGCCTGCTGAGCCCATGTCCACCTGGAACTCGTGATGGTCCTAGAGCACGCATACAGCCCTGGTTTCCGCCCACGCCTCTCCCTCCACACCTCCCTGCAAGCTGAGGGAGCCAGCGGAGGAGGTGCCGAGAGCGAGTGAGGGCTGCCAGCACGCTGTCACCTCTCAATAGTGCTCTTTCCTGTGGCAACTGTGTATAATTTTAGAGCCTCTCAACAAGAAGACTAGCACTTGATTAAATTTGGCACTGAGGTAAAGATACTGACCTGCAGATTTTGGACTTGAGGACCTGGTCCTGGCTCCACCAAGACTAGGAAAATGAGCTCAATAACTGTACTAAAATAATTTCCCCTCTTTAGTCCTGTTGTTATTTCTTCATTGGTAAAAATGGGATTTGAATAATTTTCTGTCTAAAGTCTTTTCTAATTCTGATATTCTATTTTCTGATTTTATGAGTAAATAAAAATTTTAAAAATATGATGTGTATTTAAACAACCAATGCAATCTTAAGCAGATGTAGATCAAGGTAGACAGGGTTTCTAATATAAAATGCTGATAAATGGGTATATGTTTCCATATTGTTTCCTAATGTTATGTTTAAAGAATATTGGTGAGTTTGACTTAAACAGAGGAAGGCAGAGAGAATGCTAAAGAATTTCAAAAAATAATAAAGAACTAGATTTGTTTCACCCTACACACACAAAAGAGAGTGGACATGAGTACTGCTTTCTACTTATGCATGATAAGGTTAAAAAATAAAAAAACACTAGATTTCTTCCTTTGAAAATATAAATGGGACCAAAGTACCAGTCAGGCAGGTTTGACACAATATATAGAATAGTTTCCCATATGAAAAAGTATTCAACAAATTACTGGGTTACCTTGTGAATTTACAAGGTACATTTTTAATAATGGCTAAAAATTTTGGAGAATTAACCATAAGTCAGACATGGTTTTAAGTGCTTTACTCATTTAATGTCTTATTGAGCAGTGAGGTAGGTACTATTATAAGCTCCATTTTATAAATAAGGAAATGATGAGGAAAATACATTAAATAAGTTATTTGTCTAATATTTCAAAAGTAAAGTAATAAGTTATCTAAGGTTGAACAAGTTAGCAAAGGTAGGAATCACCACAAAGCCATAGCCTACATTGCTAACCATTATTTTATACTGTCCATAATAAAAGTGAGTATCAGTTGATGTTCATCTAAATATATTGAAGAAGAAAGTAGAAAATTGAAATGCAAAAAAAAAAAATTGAAATGCATAATGTCTAAGTTCTCTTCCTGCTCTGTGATTAATACAGAATCAAAATTGTCCATATTTTACCATTTTGAGTTCATGTTAATATAGAGATGTGAAAGACTATTTAAAATGATAATTTTCTGGAGAGTGACATCAGCAGTGATGTGACAGGATAGTCCATTGTTTATTCCCTCAAAGAAACATCAATTTTAACAACTATCCAAATGTGAAATACCTTCTTAAGAATGAAGGAATCCAGATGAGAGATTACAGCACTGGGTTAGAGCACAGAAACATGAAGACATGCATTAAAGAGGGTAAGAAGAACAATTGTACATTACCCATGTCATTCTGCTCCTAAGCCAGGGCAGAAAGCATGGAGAGATATGCCCTTATTGTGGAAGAAGGTGAATAAAGTAAGCACCTGACTTCACTGCAGTCCCCAACATCAGGGCAGCCCCAGTAAACTGGGTAAAACCCAGTAAGCCCCTAGGCCCAGACTACCCCCTAGGCCCCAGGGCCTAGGATAATCCCCACAGACTGAGGCTCCAGGCCAGCCCCCAGCACCAAGCCAGCACCCTCAGCCCAGGCACCAGGCTGGCCCCTATAGCTTCAGGCTCCAGACCAGCCCCCATGGCTTCAAGCTTTAGCAGACACAAAGTCAGGCCTGCTCTAGCTGAATTAGGGTTCAGGTATTCCCTAGGAGACCCCAGCACCAGGCTGACTCCCATGGACCCAATGTCCAGTACTGACCCAAAAGTCCCAGGCACAAGGCCACCCTACAGGCCCAAGCTCCAGACCAGCCCTTGCAAACACACAACCAAGCCCATCTTCATAGACCTAACTACCAGGTCTGAATGAACAGTAAGCCAGCTCCCTTGGACTCAGGCTCAGAAGCCACCCCAGCACTGGTGGGACCCTGTGTACCCAGGCTTCAGGCTGGCCTCCACAAATGCAGGCTGCAAGTACCCTCCTGGTGAACATAGCCTCCAGACCTGCCCCCAGGGACACATTTTGCAGGCTCTCCCCAGTGGAAACCAGCATCCGGCTATCCCCTGTGTATCTAAAATCTGGGCCCACCACTACAGACTCAATCACTAGGCCTGGCCACATAAACCCATGCTGCAGGTCCACTTCAGTAAACTCAGGCATCAGGCCTGTCAACCTGCTAACACAGGGACTATGCTGGTTCACCTGAGGACTCCAACACTAAACCTAACTGTGACCTCTGAAACATGGGCTCACCCAGAATATCTGAATTAGCTGAATGGTAAAGGGCTTTCTCTACTGAAGCCAGTTAGTAATAAAACTGAATGAGTTGCCTGCTTCTTAAAATGTGCAGACATCAATGCAAGGCCACAGGACAATGAATAACCAGGGGAAAATGTCACCACCAAACAAACAAAATAAAGCACTAATAAATGACCCTAAAGAAAGATATCTATGAATAACCTGATGAAAAATTGAAAATAATTATTTTAAAGTAACTCAGTGAGCTACAAGAGAACACATCGACAAATACACAAAATCAGAAAAAACACACAAACAAAATTAAAATTTCAACAAAGAGATAAAAATCATAAAAAAGGATCAAACAAAAATTCTGGAGCTAAATAACACAGTGACAGAACTGAAAAACGTCATAGACAGCTTCAACAGCAGACTTGACCAAGCTGAAGAAAGAATCAGCAAGCTCAAAGGTCATTTAAATTAGTCATGCAGAGTAACAACAACAACAAAAAAAGTGAAGAAACCCAACACAACTATAGGACAGCATCAAGTGGATGAATGAACATATTAGAGGAGTCCCAAAAGGAGCAGAGAAAGATAAAGGGGTAGAAAGGTTATTTAAATAATTAAAAACAAAAACTTCTCAAATCTGGGGAGGAAAACGCACATCCAGATCCATGAAGACACTAGCCCCAAATAGATTAAATATAAAGAAATCTTCACCAAACCACAATATAATCAAATTCTCAAAAGTAAAAGAGAATTTTTAAAGCAGAAGGATAAGAGCTACTCATCATATATAAAAGAATGTTCATGAGACTATAGGGAGACTTCTCAACAGAAACCTTGCAGGCAGGCCAGCAGGGAACTGGATAATGTATTCAAATTACCTAAAAAACAAACAAACAAACAAATCCTTGCCAAACTAGAATACCATACGTGGTAAAGCTTTCTTTTAGAAATTAAAAAGAGATAAAGACTTTCCTAGAAAAACAAAAGCTGTGGTAGTTTATAAACATTGGTCCTGCTTTAAAAAACATGCTAAAAGAAAGCTTTTCAAGTTGAAATGAAAGGATGTTAACTAAAAATATAAAAACATACGAAAGTATAAAGTGACTGTAAAGATAAAAACTATGGTAAGGTTCAGAATACTCGTATTGTAATGGTGGTGCTTAAATCACTTTTAATTCTAGTATAAAAGTTGAAAGACAAAAGTATTAAAAGTAATTCTAGCTATAATAAATTTCTAATAGATTCATGATGTATAAATATGTAAATTGTGACATCAGTAACATAAAATGTGGGGAGAGTTGAAGTACTTTGACATTGTGTTTGACTTTTTACATAGTAATTGACATGTGTCAAAGAAATGATGAATTGAGGTCTGTAAAGTGTCGGTTGGAATCAATACAGTGAGGAGATTATGTATGTGGTTGAAGTTAAGTTGTTATAAGTTTAAAATGGACTGAGAACTATAAAATGTTTTATGTATGCCTCATGGTAACCACAAAGAAAAGACCTATAGTAGATTCACAAAACATAAAGAGAAATAAATTGAAGCATTCTGCTACAAAAAAATCATAATATTTTAAAGGAAGAGGGCAAGAAAGGAAAAAGTGAACAGAGACTTCAAAATATTAAGAACACAATTAGCAAAACGGCAGTAGTAATTCCTTACCTATCAATAATTACCTTGAATGTAAAGGGAATAATTTTTCAATCAAAAGGCATAGAGTGAATAACTGAATTTAAAAAAAACAAGACTCAACTATATGCTGCCTACAAGTGACTCATTTTAACCTGAAGAACACATATAGGCTAAAAGTAAAGTGATAGAAAAAGACATGTCATTCAAACAGTAACCCAAAGAGAACAGAAGTAGCCATTTTTATATCAGAAAAAAAGATTTTAAGTCAAAAGCAGTCACAAGAGACTAAGATGATCACTCTATAATGATAAAGGGATCAATTCATCAAGAGGTTATATAACAATTTTAAATATATATGCACCCATCATTGGAACACCTAAATACATAAAGAAATATTAACAGAACTGAAGGAGACGTAGACAGCAATGCAGTTATATAAAGGCCCTAACTCACTTTCAACAATGGAAAGGTCATCCAGAAAGGAAATCAAAAATAAAAACAGCAGATTTAAATCGTACTGTAGAACAAATGAACCTAACAGTTTTACAGAAAACATTCCATAGCAGAATACATCCTGTTTTCAAGGAAACATGGAATATTCTCCAGGATAGGTCATATGTTAAGCCAAAAACCAAATCTTAACAAATTTAAGAGGATTTAAATCATTTCAAGTATATTTTTTGATGACAACGTTAGGAAACTAGAAATCAATAAGAGGAGGAAAATTTGAAAGCACCAATAAATAACTCCTAAAACTCATGGGAAATCAAACCTATGAAGATATGAAGAATCTACAGAAAATTAAAGGCCTGGACCTGATGTTTTTCTTTGTGAAAAGTATAGCTCATTACTCCCCCTGGATTCGTAGCCCTTCCTAATTAAATTCCTCTGAAATGTCTGGGATATTCATGATTAGGCAATTCAAGGCTTAGAACAGTCACCCAGAGAGCCTCTGGCTTTTGTAGAACCTCTGTCCAAGGAAAACAAAATAATATTTACTGATTCTTTACATTTTTAAATAAAACAGATTTATTGAAAGTCTATGTCATCAAAATGTATTTTATTGTCTTTTACAATTTTTTCTTTCATATAAAATTAAATTAATAACTCAGTGATGTTAACCGAGATAATTATAGCCACAGTCCAATAAGTAAGTTAGAGAATGATAGAAATATAGATTCTGTAATCAGATTCAGTCCGTCACTACTGGTGCTGTACTTATTTTCCCCGATGTTTTTATCCCTCCCATATCAGCAATACGCCTCCATGACCTCTGTGGATGAACTAGGGCCCAGAGCAACATTCATCAAGTTGCTTCATCTCTTGTTACTAATAGATACTACAGTAGTTCTCTAGCATCTTTCCTAAACAAGTAAAACCCGTGTTATGTTATTATTATTTTTAAATATTCCCCTTGCTTTGCAATTGCCTCTTATTCTTTGTTCCTTAATTTTCTATTTCTCATAGGCATGCTATCACCTCCTTATTTTAATATATATATATTTTTCACTTGTCCATCCAAATGTCTTTGGCTCAGACATTAAAATGTATTATTTATTATTTTTATGATGTGCATCTTACCAGCATTTCCACTCCTAACAATTGATCAATGAAGGGGGAAGTATATGTGATTTCTTTGTTGTCAAAATAACATTAAGCTTGTTGATATATGCGTTTTGGTGATAAAATAGGTCTGCGAGATTGCTGAGAAAAATGAGTGGTGAAAGTAATATAAAAGAATATTGTCTAAGTGGAAGTAGCATTATCACTTCTATTGTTTTTAAATAAAGAAATACATTCATTACCAGAAAAAATAGCTAAAATAATTGAGTTTTCCCTGGGAGATTCATACTTTGAATAGAAAAATTAATTAAATACTAATATCCTTGAAGTCAAGAATTATCTTATTTGTAGTTAAGCCTCCTTCACCCTCTGCCATGCCTTGCGTAGTTAGTAGCACCTAGTAAGTGCTTACTAAATAAATGGAATGAATGAATAAATAAATAAATGAGTTTATAAGAAGGTATAACAAGTCATAGTATGCTATTGTTATGCCCAGTTGATATGCTACACAAATTATCACACCTGAAAAATAAAAGAACCAATTAAGAAAAGTGCATAATAAGGCAATTTTAATTTGCTTTCCTGATGCCATATTATAAGTATGTTTTACTACATTTAAAACAATCTTAAAAAGTCTCTATGAGCCATACTTGTTTTTCTGTTTGTTTACTTGCATTTTTTAAAAAAATAATTTCCAATTTTATTTTAGAATGAAAAAAGGGAGTACATGTGAAGGTTTGTTACAAGGGTATATTCGTCTGATGCTGAGGTTTGGGATATGGATGATCCCATCACCCAGGTAGTGAGCTTAGTGCTCAATGGTTAGCTTTTCAATCATTGTCTCCCTCCTCATATCCCCACTCTTGTAGTATCCAGTATTGATTGTTGCCATCTTTACGTACATGAGTAACCAATGTTTAGCTCCCAATTTTAAAAGAGAACATGCTGTATTTGGTGTTCTGTTCCTATATTAATTAACTTAGGATAATAGTCTCCAGCTGCAAAGGACATGATTTTGTTCTTTTTTATGACTGTATAATATTTCATAGGCTATGCACAATACTTGTTAAGCAAGTTTATTTACACATGAAGAAAATGGAAAATAAATAATTCTAACATGTATCCTTAGTTGGGTATATAGTATGATTTATAATTTATTATTCTTATTCATGAGTGTCATGGAAGAGACTGAGAGCCTTTAATATGATCTGAGTATTAAATTTCCATAGTTTAGGAATTTTTATGATGTAAGTTATTCCAATGGAAAGGATTATAGGGTAGAGAATCTCAGAGTCATTGAAAACCATGGGATTTTGATCTTCACCATGTCCAAATGGTTTCATTTTTAAATGAGAAAAATGAGGTTCCTGCGGATTTGATTCAATGCTGGAGAGTGCTACAGAGCGAGACAGTAGTTCAAAAATAAATAAATAAATAAACAAAAAACAAACTAGGACTTAATTTTCTTAGAATTGGGATTGTTATTACTCTAGTTAGTTTAGTTTCTCCCACAGAATCTGCTAGTTGCTACAAATTCATTTCAAAAGACTGTGCTAGGTTCTGTTTTTCCTTTATTTTTCTTTCTTTCATTTTTCCACATCAGCCAGGAAGACCCTGTCTTTATCAACGTAGCCAATAGCTTTGAGTTTAGTAACTCCTGCATCAGCCAGGAAGACCCTGTCTTTATCAACGTAGCCAATAGCTTTGAGTTTAGTAACTCCTGGCTTGGATGATTAACAGTAAGTAGCATGTCAAGACTGTTGTAAATCTACTAGGGGCTTTGCGTCAGTACATTTCCTTCAATGTACCTTTTACTAGGGTCCAGTTTCCTCATGCCAACATCAAGGTTGCCCCCTAATCCATGTTTGCTTGAAGGTGCTAATTACTTTCTACATATCATCTGTCTCATACCGAATTTTCAGCATCTAGTTGAGAGATGTTAAAATAAAAACAAATCTGTGACCCCGAACTGGCAGACATCTGAATTGCCCGTTAACTATTCTCTTTCACCTTTTTGACCTGACCAAGCAACCAAAAACAGTCACTGATACCTACTCTAAGTAAATTCTGGAGGTTTTAGAGCCCCAGGCAAAAGTGTTACTTTCAAAGGAAAGAGAACAAATAAGGGCTATTTGAGTTGTAGCTAATTTATTTTTCTAGTTTGTGAAACAGCAAACACTTAAGTATATTAAATCTTTCTTTTCACCACCATATTCTCTTAAAATTTCTTGGGTTGTAACGTTCAGCTACTTAAAATTACTTTGCTTCTTTTTGTGCTTTTCCTCATATTTTGTATTATTTCTACTCTTTTATCTTTCTTTTTCTATTTTGGCTTATTCTATGTGACAGATATGAGATGTTTCTTTTTTTCTTATGTGTTCACGTTTATTTTGGAATTGTTACCTAACATTTCTTGATATCATATTCCCTAGGATCTAAGATCTAGACTTTCAACATCAGGATCTAATTTGAATCTATTATCTTAACCATTGGAATTGCCAAATTTTCTCACAAGCCAAAATAGGTGATGATTTTGTCATGAAAACAGCCATATATCTACTTTAGGTTTACATAAATACTCTTCAACTTACTGAATTCATTGAAAATATCAGGAGAGAATATGAAGATGGAACTAAAATGTCTTTACGGTATTTGCATTTGGGGATAAACCATTAAGTCCTAGCAATTAGAAAGTATTTTTCTCTCTCTTTTTTCCCCTCTCTCTCTTTCTCCTTTTTCTCTCTTTCTCCTTTCTCTCTCTCTCTCTCTCTCTGCTGACTTCAAAAGATTACCCAAGGTGGTGTTCCTTTTTACAACCACTTCATTTTTTTCCCTTTTTGAGCTTCTCAGTTCTATCCTAGTTCCCTGAATCTTAACTCCATCTAAGTCCAGGTATCTGAAAGCAGAATCAGCTTTGGGGTGGTTGAAGTAAAACTAAAACATAGAAAAATATTGTTTTGAAAAATATCTTCTAGGATGCTGATAATTTTACCAGAGATTAAATACAAATTCAACCAGAAAACTTAGAGTTCCTGAGAAGAAAAAAAGTAGAGTGAAAGAATACTGAAAAACAGAAGGAAGAATTTAGAGGATGGAAAAAAATGTTTATTAATATTACAGAATCATTAGCAAGTAAGTTAGACATCAAGTCGGTTTAAGCCTGGAATTGTGCTAACTCTAAGTTAGTCAGATGTCCCATGAAGTCTTCAAGGAGAACTTGCAAATAGTGTATTTATTATATAAAACTTTACATATAATCATCTCATGAAAAAAATGGAAACACGTAACCAAAAGCACCAATGAAGGTAGTACAATTTCACCAATTAATTCTTAGTGAAAGTATTAACCAAGATGAACCCTACCTTCAGATAAGCAGAATAAAAAAGTAAAATTAAGATGATTTTTCCAGCTGTGAGATTTGAGATGTGCGTTGGATTCACCAGGTGCACTGAAACAGGTTTCACTGAACTCAGTTCTCTAATTAACCAAAGCATTGAAACCACTGCAAGAATGTTTCTCACTGTTTATCGTTTCTTTTTTATTTGCTTGCTATTTCTCTCAGACTCTTTGCATCTGTCCCATATACTTACTTTATTTTCCATTATGCCTTCTGAAATATTGTGGATAATTTGAGGGAAGACTTGGAACTGAAGTTGAAAGCAAACAAAAATACTATACTTATGAGCTAGATGTTGACTCACTAACTTGCTCTGTGAACTTTGAGTTACTAGATCTCTGCTTTCCTCTCTATCCATTAAAAAAGTTTAGAAAATCACTCAAACAAAATGTCAATAATAGCTGCTCTCTTGTATGCATAATGTATATGAGCTGATTATAAAATGCTTGATATTTGTCTTAATTTTTCTTCAGGTCATCTGATTATTTATAGTTATTTTCTTTATATTTTGATTACATTCTCCCAGCATTAAAATATTACTCATCTTTTCCTGACTTTATCCCAATTAGAGAAACTATACATTTTACAACTTTACCATGACTTTCCTTCTCAGTTCTTTAAACTAGCTATTTTTGATACATTATCTCAGTGCCTTTATTAAATAGGCATTTTTATTTGAATGAATTTTATTTTCAGGAGTCAGCATGTCTATAAACCTGCATAGAAGAGCCCATTACTGAAATCTATGATGTTATTGATGCTAAAGAAGCATATCAGGTTGCTGCCTGTTTGGTATTCTTTGGACAGTGCCAGAAAGATTCAGCTGTCTTCAAAATGTCACTCAGTGCCTGCACTGCCATGGTCAAAAAAAAAAAAAAAATTAAAGTCACTGGGAATCTCATCTAGTTTGTACAAACAAATTTAACCAATATAGAAAATGAGAAGTAGATGAAATGTCTAAAACATTAAAAAATAGATGTTGTCTTAAACACAAAATACATATTCAAAGTTATGACAGTGTTAAGATAACAGTAGAAAAGTGACTGACAAGAGTAGACAATTCATTAAAAAAAAAATCCAGGTGGAAAATAAGCATCTGCTAACATGAACACACTCTGTAGTAATCAAAAGACTTGCAAATTAAAACAATAAAAAGGTAAATTTAAAACCTATTAAATTAACAAACACAATACCTGATGCTAATGATGTTGAGTAAAACTAGTGTATTTCTACCTTAACTAATAGCATTGTAAATTGGTGCAAAGCTTTTGAAAAGCAGTGTGACAGTAATTCCGAAGATTTTAAAAACTGTTTCTACACATGGATTTCTTAAGACCATTTTTGAATCAGTTCAAAAATGAAAAAGCGAAACAAAACTTTTCATCTCTGGTATTTTATTTGCCATTATTTGGTGTTTTTTAAAACTTACCAAAATAGTGGAAAATAATCCAATATGTGAAAATCTTACAACTTACTATAAAACAAGAAAAAGAAAATAAAGTTCAAAATTGTATGAACATCATGTATGTGTATAGTCAAAGACTAAAGGGTAATACAAATTACAAAAACAACTGTTGGCCTACTATGTGGAGATTATTATTTACTTGATTTTATTTTCAAAATGCTTTTTTATTATAGTATTTTATAATAGTGTATACAGACAAAACTTTGTATAATATAAAATCTTATTCAAGTTGCAACTATCCTGGAGGACATACTAAGCTTAGCAGAAATATATTAACAACAAACTGAAATCAAGCTACCTTGCTTTTAGGATACAGAAGAAAAACATTTAGGAGGATGTAAATTACAGAAAGATAAAAAAGCTTTTGGAAAAAAAATATGAAACAAATTCAGATCTTTTATACTTCGGCAATTGACCCAGGACTGAATAAAGCCAAAGTCCTAATGATCTTCATGGTAGTCATAAAATGAATGAAATTCATCTTGTTGGTGCTTTTAGAGTTAACTGTATGTCACCTACCATGCACCGATGTTTTCTTTTATTCCTCCAAGCTATTCTTTTTTTATTTTTTGAGTTGGAGTCCCACTCTGACACCCAGGCTGGAGTGCAGTGGCATGATCTTGGCTCACTGCAACCTCTGCCTCCCAGGTTCAAGTGATTCTCCTGCCTCAGCCTCCCGAGTAGCTGGAATTACAGGCACCTGCCACCACGCCCAGCTAATTTTTGTATTTTTAGTAGACACGGGGTTTCACCATGTTGGCCCGGCTGGTCTCGAACTCCTGACCTCAGGTGATCCACCCCCTTCGGCCTCCCAAAGAGCTGGGATTGCAGGCATGAGCCACTAGGCCTGGCCTATTCTTTTAGGTTATTTGAACATCAAATAATGAATGTGTAAATATTAAATATATAAACACTATATATAAACATTTTAAGCATGCTACCATATATTCTAAATATTTCTTTATGATTTTATATACATTTGTTTCATTTACTGAATATTTTGCTGTAAATCTATTTTAGTTGTCATTTAAGTTTCTCGTCTTCCTTTCCAATGTGAATTAGATTTTCCTTCCATTTATCCCTTCATATCATTTCAAATCATGAATAAGAATGAAGGTGACAGCTTGGATGAGTTCCAGATGTGTCAGAAAGTATATGTTCATATTTTTGCCAATATGTTTAATATAATGAAATCATATTTGATATTCTTAAGTTCCTACATTATAATTGGCCTATATAAGAACGTAAAAACTCAATAATCTGAAGTAATTGTCTGAAATAAAGGTCTATGAATGTGATCATAGAAGGCAAAAGTCCTTCCATAGTTATGATTCTTATAATCACCATGGCAATTTCTACCAACATACCTGTGAAATATCTTCCATGCATGCATAACCCTTCTCAGATAATTTGTTAGCACAAAATATTTTTAGGCATTAATATTAATTTTGTATGTGCCTGCTTGAAAACTTTCTCCATAATAGCAAATATCTCTTCCAAGATCATGAATAAAAGCACATATTGTTTTATTTTCAAATGTATCTTTTTACCATAAATATAATTCCATAAATCCAAGTAAAGTCAAAACAGGTTGATGTATTATTATAGGGTTCCATCTCCACATGGGGCTGTTATTCCTCTTGGGACAGGATAACTTGGTGCTATTAAAGAGTAGCTTTTAGCAAAGTATTATTGCTTTGCTGAGGTGAAATATGTTGATACTACATATACATGAAATTTTTATCTCTTAAGCCTTTATGTGTGCTATTTTTTACTTGAATATTGACCTCTAAAGTAATACCATTTATTCTACCATCTTTCAGCCTTGATCTGCTTTCAATTTACCTTGTTAATTTTTCTTGCTATCATATCCTTGGAAGAAAAAAAATGGTATCACACAGACACACATATGCACATATTTATTTTTGGTCACTCACTCATTACTTTATGTATAATGTCTTGGCATTTGAACTCAGGTTACTTCTAGTTCAAAGCTTGGCTTAGTAGTTTGCCACGATTAAATAGCTTAACATTTCTATGCATCAGTTACTCATATCTAAAACAGAGATGATAATAGATTCTGTCTCATTGAATTCTTGAAGGAATTAAGTGAGTTAATTGGTGAGATATGTTTAGATTAGAGACTATTACACAGTAAATGGCTCAGGAAGTGACCTATCTGTGATGTGTTTGCATTGAAATCTCTTTATCCACTCAAAGATTGGATTTTCAATTGTACTTGTACATTTTTTTTGTACAGTTAGTGCTAGTAAAGCCTTTTCATTAAACTTGGGTTGAAATTATATTGTATCCAATTCCAATTCATAGTGTTCTCATCCTTTATTACAACTTAGACCTCAATTTATCTGTTTCTTGTGGGCTTCCTACCATAGTTCTAACAGAGGTTGTTCTGATACTTTCTGAGACTTCTCATATCCAATGACACCACCATCTTATTCACTCTCAAAGAATGACTTGACTTCCTACATCACTAAGATTAGTTTCATCTTTCTCCTTGAATTGTTTTCTATCTCAAAGTTTTTTTGATTTATTTACTTTCCTCTTGTTTCATAATTTTTTTTTCTCTACTCTTTCAAGTCTAACTACTCCATGCCCCAAACAGTTTAAACCTCTCCTGTTTGATTTCCTTCCATTCTTAAGAAATCCATTGCACTTGTTTGTATCTTCAGGCTCTCCCATCTTGACTGAATTCTTTATGTTAATTCAAAGTTTCCAAATTCTTCTTATCCTGAATTTTTTTCTCTTTTTTTCTCCTAACTACTCCTCTTTTTTTCCTTCTATTTCGTAGGGTGGCTATCTTTTCCTTCTCCCCTGCTTGATTGAAACTCCTTTCTCAGAATGAACTAATGAGAGTCAATTAACAAAATAACGTGATGCTCAAACTTCTTGCAATGGACTGAATATTTGAATATTTGTGTACCTCCCAAATTCTATATCTTGAACTCCTAATGTGAGGGTATTAGGAAGTGGCAGCTTTGGAAGGTAATTAGGTCATGGAAGTAGGGCCATTATAAAGAGTATTAGTGTCCTTATAAAAGAGATCCCACAGAGCTCCCTCACCCTGTTTCTGTCATGTGAGGATACAATGAGAAGTCAGTATTTTGCCACCTGCAAGATGGCCCTCACCAGAACCTTACTAGGTTGGCACCCTGATCTTGGACTTTTAGCCTCCAGAACTGTGAGAAGTACATTTCTATTGTTAATAAGCCACCTAGCTGGTATAACAACCTGAACTGAATAAGACACTTTTTAACATTGATAGCACAATTTTTAAATCTTTTTGTTTCTTCCTTCATTCTTTCATTTGTCTCCTCAGAAACTATTTGTTGAAAACCAAACAGGTAGCAGGCTGTATAATCAGGACGGTACAAAAGATCTATAACAAAAGATCTTTGTTATTCAAGAACGTGCTATCTACTGGATGAGTGTGGTTAGGTTGTTCTTTTGTTGCTACAAAGCAATACCTGAGGCTTGGTAATTTACAAAGAAAAAATTGTAATTGGCTCAGAGTTCTGCAAACTGTTTGAGCATAACACCAACATCTGCTAGGCTTCTGGCAAGAGCCTCAGGAAGTTTACAATCATGGTGGAAGGTGAAGTGGGAACAGGAGCATCATATGGCAAGAACGGTGTGAGAGAGAGAAGGGGGAGGTGGCACATACTTTTAAGCAACCAGATCTTGCTTAAACTCACTAATCATCCAAAGAATGGCACTAAGTCATTCACAAGGGATTCAACTCCATGATCTAATCCAGTCCCCACCTCCAACACTGGGAATCCCATTTCAACATGAGATTTGGAGGGGACAAACATCCAAACCATATTATGAGACATAAGATTAATTTCACTGTGATACAAGAGGAAAATGATTATTTCATTTAAAAAAAAAAAGATCATTTTGTTTCCTTTATGCAATAAAACTTGTACATTTCTGTTTAGAATTTTTATTTGGGAGCTATAGTAGATATCTGTCCTTTGGAAGCAGTTATAATATGATGAAAGTAAATTTTCTTAAGATACGTTAATCTGCTCTGCACAATGACTGTTGGTTGCATAGTATTCAGAGGTGAAGGACACCTTTGGGAATCTACCTACTTGGAACTATGTGGATATCTCAAGATTTTTTTTATGTGTTAATGTGTGTCCATGTAGGAAACATATTTACATTTTAATTCAAGGCAGCGGTAACTTTACTGGAAAGAACACTGGCTGGATATTAAGGAGAGTGCATTTCTAATCCTGGCCCTAGGGATCATTAGCTGAACTAGTAGAAGTCTCTTAATTAGTCTGGGCTTCAATATACTCATCAAAATAAATTGGCTCAGTTCTTGAACATGTGCTCTTCTTTGTTTACATTTGTGTTCCAGATGATCTCATCGTGTCGTATAGCTTTAAATATCTTATTTGCACTGACAGTTGTCAAATGTATAATGCCAACACAGAAGTTTCTTCATAAAATCCAGTTTTATATTTTTAACATACTGCTGTCACCTCCAAATGGACATTCATTAGTATTTCAACTTTTTGTGTTCAGAGATGAACTACCTGAATGCTCTTAATTCTTCCCCATCTTGGCCAATTATAATCCCAGACCACCTCAGGCAATGTGTGTCTACCTGAAACCTGATTTATTCTTTATTTTAACTGAGAAAACCATTTATTTATCTTCCATGGGATTCCTATCACAGCTCAGGAAAACTTCTTCTTTTTAGTTATATGGATGAGAAAGCTTGTAGTTATCCTTGACTTATGACATTCTCTTATATCACTTATCTTATACGAGGGCATGTGCTCCTGGATTTGAGTTTAAAATAAATCGAGATCTGACCACTTCTTACCACTTGCTAAAACCACAGACCAAGTTGCCATCATCTCTTACCAGAATTCCTGCAATAAAATACTATCTGGTTTTCCTAATTCAATTCCTGTACCCGCCGCCAACCAATGTTTTCACAAAACAATTTTAGTGGTCCTTTAAAAATGTGGGTATGATTATGTCATTCTGCTGCAATCAGAATTTAACTGCATTCATAATAAAACCCCAAGTTCTTATCATAGCCTTCGAGACTGCAAATAATTTGAATCTTGACTACCTCTTTATCTTCAACTATTCTTTCCCTTATTTACTTATACTTGCCTCTTTGCTATCCCTCATACAAACCAAGGATACCTGCCCACTTGAGGGTATTTACCTCTTGCATTATCTTTAGCGTATTCTTCCCCAGTTAATTACCTGGCTCCTTCAAATCCTCCCTCAAGCCCATCCTCAAATACCATAATGAATTAGAAGGCTTCTGTAATATACTCTGGGGTCTATAGCTTCCTATTCTACTCATTTTTCTTTACAATATTTATCACTATATGTGTATGAATATACATATACATGTATATATAATACTCATACATGCACTTTGCTTAAAGTACTACCTTTAAACCAACATGAATGTTTTATGTGAACATGGATATTAGCTGTTTTGTATTCTGACAGGGCTTAAGATAATGTTCGTCTAAGAAAAAATAAATGGTAATATAAGGGAACCCCTTTTTGTCATAAAATTATTAATATGTATAGCTAGCAAAGTTTTAGGATACGGGTGTATGCATGTGGTGAGATATAGTAATACTTAGCCACTTCAACATATTGAACCTCTATTAATAACAATTATAAGTCATAAACAGTATTATGTCCTACATTTGTAGAACTCTCAATGGGTTTCAAAGCACCATTACATTCATTATTTTGTTTTATTTCCCAACATTCTATTCCTGGGTAGGATAGGTGTTACCCTTTTACTGGAGTGGTTAAGGGGCACCACTGCAGTGGGCATGTGTATTTGAGGGAGAGCAGCATTTAAATGAAGTCATTAATGAGAGATAAGAAAATGTGAAAAAGGTTATAAATGAGACGCTGTCAGAAATTAGATAGACTAAAGACAATTAAGTTGACTTAATCTTAAAGAAGGTTAAAATAATGCTTAACCAGAATTGCCTTTGAAAATATTTGCTTAGAAGGGCTATCTAGCTGAGAAGATAAGAAATGCATGGGAAATTTATATTATTGTCTATCATGTTTGACATTTTATAATGTTTATGAATTCTGAGGGAATATTTATAATCCAAATAAATTAGAACATGCAGTACTGTACAGCATATTAGAGATGGCTAATGAGAAATTCCAAGGCTGTTGGAAACTCATGTTACTGCTTTAAAGAAACAATGAAGTATAACATGCTAGTGCTCAGGAAAGAAGATGATCAAAGGCCGTATAAGCTCAGATTGTAAAATAGTTGAAGATATGAGGTGTAACTATTTTTTTCAGTTATTGGTAACAAATATTATAATACCTAAAAATTTTTGAGTATTTATTATGTGCCAGACACTATGCAAATAATACTATAGACATTTTCTTACCGAATTCTAACAATCAACCTACCAGGTAGGCACTATTTTTTTTTATTCAGAGGAAACTGGGACTTAGAAAGATTAAGTAGTCTACCCAAGTGACAGAAGTTTTTATATTTTTTATTTTTTACAGGACTGGAATTAAACAAAGGTCAGTATAAATATAAAATCAAAGCTCCTAACTATAAAGCTATTGAGCATGTTGATTGACTGTGTGGTAGGTAGAATAACACCTCTTCCCTGCTAGAGATTTCCATGCTCTAATCTCCAGAATCTGAATATGTTAACCAAAAGGGATTTTGTAAATATAATTACGTTAAGAATTTGGGGATGTGACTATCATCCTGTATTATTACTTGGTGAACCCAATGTGGCCACAAATGTCCTTATAAGAAGGAAACCAGAGGGTTAGGATCAGAGTGAGAGAGATTCAATGATGCAATGTTGCTGGCTTTGAAGATGGAGGAAGGGGGCCATGAGCTGAGGAATACAGGTGGCTTCTGGAAGTTGGAGACGGCAAGAGAATACATTGTCAGCTAGAATCTCCAGAAGAAATACAGCCCTGGATTTTAGCACAATAAGACCATTTTGGACTTTTCACCTCCAAAATTGTAAAATAATAAATGTATGTTGTTTTAAACCACTAAGTTTGTGGTAATTTGGTATGTCATTAGAAACTAATATAACCTGTATATAATATACAATAATAATTGTCTAGTTGAGAGGGAAAGGATGAACACAAAGCTTAGTGAGGGAATACTGTGTTGGAGAAGTGAAGGGAATGTTGTGGAGCTAGGTCCTGAGCTGAAGTTAACCCTGAACAGGAGCTTGCGGAATTTTTTCCATTGAAAAGTACAGAAACGTATGCCAGATAGATATAGATACAGTTGGACCTGAAGATACAGGAGTGAGAGATTAAAGAAGATCACAAATGAGAGACATTAATTTTCTCCACAAAGTAAGGCATAAGGCTATTTAATAAAAGCTAGAGTAGGAAAATGTAGATTTAGAAGCACTGGGAAAATTTATGTTAGAGGTTGTGCTGAGTGACAGATGACTTGATACGGGCAAAGAAAACGTTTGTCAATAACCACAGAGGGTAGTTAAATATAGAAATCCTTTATTTTACTCTCAGACTTAGATGAAAGTATTTTTTCTCCAGCAATCCATTGATTGAGTTTCTACTCAAGGCACTGCTGTAGAAAATGACATATTTTTTTTGCATTATTTTTAGGTTAGGTGCTTACAGGTAGATGTGACATAAGAACAAAGGGGCAAAGAGATGGAAACGTAACAATATTCAAATGTAAAGGATAGAGGATAGAGGAGTAATCAAAGGTCCCCAAACCCTGGGGGATTTCTGCCCCTACCTCCTAGCTGACATGAAGAAGTGAAATGGCAAAATACCACGGGTCAGGGGAATCCAAGAATAGAGATATGGGTCATGCTCTGAGGCAGAGTCAAACTTCTTGGTTACAGGAGGGTAGCCTCAAATTGACAATATGTAAGTCTCTGCCAATCAGCAGAAACTGAGTTTAAGAAAATAAAAGAGGCTCTTTTTATTATATGCTTGAGTTTGCAGATTGTGCCTCAAAACTTTTTCAAAAAATTAAAAAAGGAACAGAGAGAAAAGTAAAACTGAACTGAAAGTATAGATTTCTTAGAATTTTGCAAGCTGAATACAATTTCTACTTTGTAAACTTGTATTACTCATATTTTTATCAAACTAATAATCAATGGGAAATGGATTTTCTAAAAATGTAATATATCTTTCCCAGTGTGAGTAGAAAGAAATTATATGAGAAATTACATTGTTTCAGATTCTTTAAAAGGTGATGTATCACGTTAGCAAGTTAACACTAATTCATTCTTTTACTACTTAACACTCAAAGTACTCTGGATTTGATGGGTGAGTAAATGAAGAAATATGAAAGCTTGATTTCTCAAAACCATAGTGGTTGCCTTTAGCACAAGAATTACGAATAAGGAAGTGGGTAACCATAAGGCTACATCCTCCTGGGAAAAACTGGTCTTGTTACCTCCCAAGTGTCCATCCACCCTCCTCCTGCTATGGGCTCTGAACTCATGGTACATGTGTGACAAGAGGACAGAACCTCGGCATTCCAAAGCCAGATCCCTGAATTGTTAGGGAAGTGTTTGAAGACCAATTCTAAAACTGTCATACTCTATAGATATGAAAAAGATATCAGAGAAAAAAGGGACTTAAGATCTCACACTTTCACCCTATACTAGTTTGCTAGGGCTGTCGTAAAGAAATATACATTCTGGGTGGCTTAAACAACAGAAATTCATTTTCTTACAGCTCTGGAGGCTAGAAGTCCAAGACTAAGGTGTCAGCAGGTTTGGTTCCTCCTGAGGCCTTTCTCCTTGGCTTGCAGATGGTTGCCTTCTTGCTGTGTTCTCACATGGTGTTTCCTATGGTGCACCCACAAGAGGAACTATGGTATCTCTGTGTGTCGAAATTTCCTCTTCTTATGAGATCACCAGTCATATTAAATTAAGACCCACTCTAATGGTCTTATTTTAACTTAACCACCTCTTTCAAAGACCTATCTTCAAGTACATTTTAAAGGGGTGAAAAAGAGGTGACAGGTCACATTCAGAGGTAGTGGAGGTTAGGGTTTCAACATATGAATTTCGGAGTGGCACAATTCAGTCCATAACATGTCCCCAGTCAAGGAGAATTGAGACAAAGAATGTAACCTTCTTCCCCTCTAGAAAAGTGAGAGAGAGAGAGTTCCAGAAAGCTGCTTGAAGTGTTTGAAATGTGTTCTCTAAAGTTGGAAGACTAACACAAGGCTCATAGCTGACTCATGAAACTGAAAACTGTGTAATATGTGCAAGTAAGACAGAAGTGGCTACATGAAGGTCAATCTGAATTTTCAAAATTTATATTGGTAAGAGAGGTATGCGTGTTTCCTGTTGGTTAGACATAGGCTAAAAAGGAGAGATTGGCTAGACATGGGCTAAAGAGCAGAGGTTATCTGGGGTCCTGTTCAAGAGAGCACCTGTAGGGTAGAAGGACCCTGGTAGCAGAAAGCTGGAGGTGAAATCTGAGATTTCTAGGGGCTGTGGAAAAAGTTGAAAATGCCCTCCAGAAATAAGCACTACATTTATCAGCCCACCTCAATGGAACTGTAGGACATAAGTCATCAGCAATAAAAATAAGCAAACAAACAAAACAAAAAATGCCCATAAGAAAAAGAGACAGTTTAAACTCTAAGCTTAAATGGTGGAAAACTACCAGAATATAGGAAACTTTTTTTGCTATCTTTCTCATCCTTATTCCCAGAGTCTGAAGCTGTTGGTAACTAGAAAAGGAGAACTGGGAACAAGAGAAAGCACCTAGGCACTAACCCCATTCCCATGTCTTAAAAAGGGCTGGAATTTAGGGAGACTGGGATATTTAATGTTAATTCCAGTTTTGAATATTGACTATTGTCTTGAACAGGTCATTCCACTTTTTAAGTTTACTGGTTGAAGTGACAATACGACAAGTGCTGTTCTGGTAAATACTGACTGGCTGCTCCTCCAAAGAACAGCTTTGATTTGTAGCATTTATTCTTTTCTGTGGTGTAAATTCTCCCAGCATGACCAGTTTCTAAATACCAACATCAAGTCATTCAACACAGAGCTGGGAAAAGATCAGCACAATCCAGTTTCTCCAGTCTATGAGCTGATCCCTATGAGTTTTAATGCCATAGGCTGTTAAAACCAAGAACAGAGGCAGATTTACTGAGACGTGAAGGCAAGCTTCAGGGCCTCTCAATGCCACAAACCTCAAATTGGCTTTAGCAATGTGGTCACATGGTCACTGATTTGCATACATTTCATAAATGATATTTAAATCACAATCAGTTAGCACTGCTGTTTCTTTCCACTCTGACCTCCCACCACCACATTTGCATTCTGGTCAGGTGCCTTGGAAGTGGCTTTAGGACTCAGATGAGAAGTTGAGGCGGGGAAGCTTTCATTTAGCTTCTGTGAAATATATTTCTGTTTTCACTTGCTTCTATGCATGATGAACCTATTGCCATCTATCCAATGGTATAAAATGGCTCCTTACAATAGTCCTGCCATCCAGTGCATAGACTCATCTGGCACCATCATAGGAAGGTGCAAAGTCACATGTCGTATTGTAATTTGAGTGTTTTTGCGATGTGCTTGGCATAGAAGTATATGGATAGTGAAAGAAGCAGCAACATTTGTAATATGAAGACTCGAAAGGTTCTCTGTGGAAAATTCTTCCACATCTGATGGTTTATACATAAAAAAAATCTTGACAGAATTTTCCCTAAATTTGAAATGATCTTAAAAATTTAAAACAAGATGTGAAACTCAATAAACATTCTAAAATAATTGTTTTGCTATATCATGATCAAAACTATCTATATGTCTATGAAAAAAGACATCACGAAGTTATTGGCATATGCAAGTAATAAAAAGCATATTATCAAAAAATGTAAGTAAAAAGATATCACATAAGTGTTACAGGCAGCTAATTGAACAAATATGGTGGGATTTTTTTTTGTGATGCTTGTGATATTTGAAAGTTTTTTAAAAATTGCATTTTGTTATTCTTTTTTTCTAAGTAATTACTTATTTTGAATGTAATTTGTGTTTCTGTGATCATTTCCTTAAAGTAGTAAAGAAAGTCCCTCTCATACGATCCAACAATCCCACCTCTGGGTATATATCCAAAAAAAATTAAATTAATATGTTAAAGAGATGTTTATTCCCATGTTTATTGCAGTACTATTCATGATAGCTAAGATATGGATTCAATCTAAGTGTCAATCAAGGATGAATATATACATATATATATATATACACGCATATATGTGTATATGTATAAAATAGATATTTATGGATAGGTATGTATGTAAATAGGTATATGTGGATAGGTATACACACACAAACACACACACACACACACACACAATGAAATACTAGTCAACCTTAAAAAAAGAAGGAACTCTTGTCATTTGCAACAACATGGATGAACCTTGGGACATTATTACTAAGTGAAATAAGCCAGGTACATAAAGACAAATACTGCATGATCTCACTTCTATGTGGAATCTTAGAAAGTCAGACTTGTAGAAGTAGAGAGTAGAATGGTGGTTGCCAGGAATGGAGCTTTTGGCAGTGCTGGTGGAAGATACATGTTGAGATGAAGGGTAAAAACATTTGGTTAAACAGGATGAATAGGTTCTGGAGATCTATTGCATAGCATGGTGACTATAGTTAACAAAGTATTTTATATTTAAAAATTGCTAAGAGATTAGATCTTAAATGTTCTCACTGCAACAAAATGCTAAGTATGTGAGGTGATCAATATATTAACTAGGTTGATTTCATGATTTCACAATGGACACATATATCAAAATATCACACTGTGCACTAAATATATAAGATAACGAGGTCATATAAGTACTAAAAAAGAAAAAAAGGTGGTGACACTCCAAACTGTATAAGCTGTGTGTATTTCATTTTCTAAGAGAATAAAGAAAAATCATGGGACTTTCTATGTTTAATGCAGAAGCAACGGATGGTTACCTCTACTAATACATTTTAAAGGAAGAATGAAAAAAGTAATTTGGTTTTATTATATCACAAATCAAACATGTTCAATACACTGTTATTCACCCTTTGGTGCTACTTCTTTCTGAGCTTCTTCTGATGAAGGATTTTAATCTGGTTGCTTAGCCCTAATGTTATGAGGTTCTGTTCGGGGTAGAATTGCAGCTTCTTTTTCAATTAAATCCATGGAAAAATATATCTAGCCCCTACTGAAAGTGCCCAAATGGAATTCTCTCCGTTCTCCTTTCCAGACATATTCTATATGTTTTAATCAATTTTGGAATATGCAAACAGATAAATGTGTCATTTAGTACAAAATCTAGACTCTTCTTGGAATCTCGCAGGTGACTTTTTTTCTTCTAAGTCATTTATTTCTTATACTTGGGCAGATTAAGATGATCACCAAGTAATTTCAGTCATGATTGTCTCATCACTCAAACAAAAATTCATTTCTTGTGAAATAATAATTCAGAAAAACAAAAGTGGTTTCCCATCTATTGGAGAGATGGCATGCAATTGTAAACTTTATAATACCATCTGAAAAAGTTTGTCTTTTCAAATATTTATTTTTTGCTATAGAGATTGGGGAAGAGAAAACATACTTAATATTAAGTTGTTTTACATAGTGATGAAGAGAGGTTGACGACTGGGTGCAGAATTCTGCAACGAAGTAAAAATTAGACCACAGAGTATTTTTGAGGTCTTCACTAATACATACCTACACTATGCCCTATTTTGACTGTATAGGCCTACACAGTATGCTCATTAATGTGGTCAAAATGAAAAAAAAAAAAAAAGACCAAGGCATTGAAAGATTTCAAGTTTTTTTTTTTTTTCAGATTTGCTCATCTTACTATTATCAGTGATACTATAGACTGCCTTTTGCAGAGGACGTAATGCATTTTGCAATAATGATACAGTATATAATCTAAATTTTGTTAGAAAAATGACTTTATTTTTGCATTGCCTAATTTAAATGTTAGATCTATAAGAGAAGCATTTTAACAAAAACTCTTTTTATGAAATATTTGTGCTCCTGAAATTTGCTTGCAAATTACATTTATTCACAAGCATATTAGGGGAGTGGTAAGGAGGTCAGGCTTTGGAGGTAAGCATAACTAGGTTGGATTCTTGACTTAGCTATTTTTTACCAAGTCACTTAGGTTCTTCAAGTTTTTGTTTTAACATCTGGAAATGGGGACAATGGTAACTACCACATTCTGTTATTGTCAGGCTTACATGACGTAAAGTGTTAGAAGTAGCTCTCATGTAGTAAGCACTAATTACATAATAGCTATTATTACTCTTACTTTATTACTCTCTTTGAAATTACTTTTTAAAGAAAAGTTTATATTCATGTTTGGAGAAATGTTCGCAGGATTTAATATGTGAAAGAATGTGGGCTTCAAAGTACACATTACAAACTGAGTAGTTTTATATAACTAACTTTAAAAATCTGTAAAGAAATTGCTTCACATTTCTTTTTAAAAACACTATTATGTTTGAATTAAATGTCCCACCAGCTTTTACTTGGTGGAGACGTGTCCTAAATTGCCCTAAATTGTTGTTGTAAGAAAGGTTGTCTCTATGGCAGAAAATACAGGTCAAATTCAAAATCTTTATTTTGAAAATGTAAAAGTAAAATACTAGTGAACTTCTGTCATGTAAAATGTACATGATGAGAAAAGATAAAATTAGATTATCCTTACATTCAACACAAAGGTCAATAGTAAGGCAAGCAGCTTTTTTTTTTTCTTTTTTTTCTTTTTTTTTTTCCCTACACCACTCCTATTCTGTGACATGTTGTGGAAGCTAATGGATTTTTAGATGTGAGAACTGGACTCTCCAAGCTGAAGAGAAGAGGAGACAGAGAAAGAGCAGAGGGACATATTAAAAATTCAGCATTTTAAATGGACAAATGGAACTTCATTTACTGTAAGAAAGAGCCAAGATCCTGTAAAGTGATCCTGAAAGTATTGAATTTTCTCTATGATTTAGACATTATATATAAATGAAACTTCTTTATATACAAAGCACTGTTGAAAAATACAGTCATTTTAAATATAATCGAAAGATTAATATTTAAATAATGGTATTATGCTTTTAATAAATACACAAAATGTTTAAGGGTACGATTTATAGACCTTTCCACAGTTTTTAAAAATATATATGTGTTTTACCCTGCTTTTCAGTTGTAATTTTAACAGTCTAAATATTTTGTTTAGCTAAAATGATTTTTATTGTCATCTGGATAGTTTTCTCTTTATATGGTAAAATTTGGCTATTTGATATAATAGATATAAAGAAAATAGACATAAAGATTATATCTACAAGTTAATTTTACTGATGAAAGAAGGTGAAACTCTGGGTCTTATGTGTGGCTCATTAGGCCACTCTCTTAACGAGACCACTGATGGACTGAATGTCTATGGTTTATTTTCTTCACAGTTCATAAATTACCAAGTATTTTTTCATCCACTCCAGTCAAGATTTGCATCCCATGCTCTGAATAAGATGATTACAGAATGTTGTTCTGCCAGTGAATAATTACTGCTGAAAGGCCTTTGAGACTTCACAGAATCTTGAAAATGTATCTTTAAAATTAGGCTGAATGTTTTCAGATCCTTAAAAATATATGGATGCTCGATTCTTGAATATTAGTAAGATAAAGTTAAATGTTATATATGAAAAAGGGAAGATTAAATTATAGATTCTCTGACTTTCAGAGAGGAATCCTATTTCTCAGGAATTCGTTTTAAAGAGAACCTTTTATTATATATTTCTAAAGAATTGTAATTCTTTTAAAAAGGAAAATAACAACTACCAGTGATTTTTTTCTTTTAAAATTATAACAAGGCTATTATATTTTTGTTTCTTTCTGAATTAAAAATAAGGACCAAAGTTGAACACCAAAGGCACTGAGCACCAAATATTCCAATATTCTAAGTTTAGACACTCTTTAGCAATTTGAGCCAAACACTTATCCATCTTCTTTGGGCCTATAGAGATACCAGAAATGGCCTTACCTCCTTCAACATACCCCCAAACCCACATCAATATGAAAGTCAAACTGGGAAGAAGAAGAATGCAAAATTCAGGGTGATACAGCAAAGAAGAGCTCAAGAGACGTCTTCATGCAAGCAGCCAACTTGCTGACCTACTGCTGTGTTACTTACTCAGAAGAAAATAACTAGCAAAAAGATGGTGGAGTCAGGAGCAAAGGAGCTTGTATGTCTCATGCTCACCATTAAAAACCGGATAGATAGTGAGTTTTCCTGAATCAAGCAAACAGCATGGAAGATAGCCAGGTCTTGTAGTCTTAATTTTCCACCCAAGTAGGATATTCCCTGACTAAAGGGACCTCAGTAAAAAGAAGTGAGTGGAGTGGAATTTTTCCCCATCAGGAAAGTGCAGTAGGAAGGCTTCTTTTCATACTCTGTAAAGAATCCACATGTGTTCAAGCACAGAGCTAGAACTTGGGTGGCTGCCACAAATCGCCATTTTTCTTTTGTGTGAATGTCCTGAAGTTTCCTGTCATTTCCAAAAACTGACATTCATTTTGCGGCCTAAATAGCACTATGTCAGTATTAGTCAGAGAAGTAGAAGTATCAACAGAGAGATGTTTGCTAGCTCACTCAATCAAGAAAGATTTTTTTTTGCAATATTGCATTTCCCTCCTTTTCATTTCAATACTGAAGAAGCTTGACACAGTTAAAAGAGGAAAAGTAAGAGACATTGAAGGGCTACACTAAGTGCTTCCCTCCTCTAAACAAAGTGCTAGAACCACACTTTAGCCTAAGCTTGCGGAAGGGAAAGAGGAAAGTTTCAATTGAGTTTGAAATTGAAATTTTGAAATGAACAGGACTATTTAGACTAAGATTATTCTTTATTATGTAAACTGAATATAGAGTTATTGAGTCATACTTTTTAAAATGTAATATGTACCCAATTAAACAAAGGGAATTGGCACAGGGTATTGGGGGATACTTATTGGAAAAAAAAATGGGAATAATTCTTGGCTATAATCCAATAAATAGAAAGTCCCCAATAATTAGGATAAACTAACTCAAATTTTAAAGCATATACAAAAGAGCAGTGTAAATCTTAGAGAATTTAGTTTGCAGTACTGCCTAAATGTATTTTATTGCATGAAAATATCTGGGGTTTTTGTGTGTGTGTTTTTCTTTTCGGGGGAGCACTTTTTTTTTTTTTTTTTTTTTTGAAACAGAGTCTCGCTGTTGCCCAGGCTGGAGTGCAGTGGCACAATCTCGGCTCACTGCAAGCTCCACCTCCCAGGTTCACACCATTCTCCTGCCTCAGCCTCCTGAGTAGCTGGGACTACAAGCGCCCGCCACCACGCCTGGCTAATTTTTTGTATTTTTAGTAGAGATGGGGTTTCACCGTGTTAGCCAGGATGGTCTCCGTCTCCTGACCTCGTGATCCACCCGCCTCGGCCTCCCAAAGTGCTGGTATTACAGGCGTGAGCCACCGCTCCTGGCCGAGCACTTCTTAACATTTCTGTACACCAGAACTTAACATTTCTGGACACCAGAACTTTTTGTTTGTCTCATATTTGTTGGAAGGAAATTTTAAAGCATGACTATAAATTAGAGTGCTTATTTCAGACTGCAGAGGGTGTACTTGCTTTGCTATGACATAATTACAGAATCTTAAGAATTTAATATATTTAGTGAATAAAATTCCGGAGTAGAAATATTTGAAGGAGATTCATTAAGGATTCTCAATAAAACTAAAGTGGATGTTTCATAAGCTATAGTTTTGTGAAAAAATAAATGTTGTTTGTTTGTAAAAATAGTATTCAGGAAAAAGGAAAAGAAAACCAGATCAGCAATGGTAGATCCAAAGTAATAATGTAAATACCACTTTATTAGTCAGGGTTTGTTTAGGCTTCTTTTATAAAAATAAAAAGGAATCCTCAAGTGCCACGACCTAAACAACATAGAATTCAACTTCTCTTTAGTGTGAATATTTTGAATCATCAGGAGTCCAGAGCTGGTTGAGTGGTTGCTCCATGATGTATGTCATCAGAGACCCAGTCTCCTTCTCTTTCAGTGTGCTGCCAACTTCAAAATGTAACTTCCGTTTCCTTATCTACATTGCATCATGTTCACATTTTAAGCTATTGGAAAGGGAAGAAAAAAAGATGCTGAAGGCTTCCAGTTTTAGCCATGATAATACAACAAGAAAAAGCTTAACACACTTAAAATCAGTGACTTTTCTTGGACACATCATAGAACAAACGTTGCAAGGCAAATTGTCATTCTGGTACCTGGAGAGGCAAGTGAAAAGATCCACAGCTCAGATTTTTTTTTTTTCCTGAAGCAAAAGACGCTGAAGCCATAACCTGACACATAAATGGTATGTGTATATTATATTTCAAGGTATAAAAGCCATAACACATACATAAATGGTAATTTTGATGAATTGCTAGAGGCTGTGGATTAGCATGAGAGTGAGGAACTTCTAAAAGCCACAGTTTGGGGGAAACTTCTGTACTTTCAAGGGCTTTACATCCAGGAAACCAGCCAGGTTCACACAGCGAATATCACAAAGAAAGATTCCTTTGTGTCTTTGACAGGAGAAAGGGAAGAGTAATCACTGTGAAATATGCCAGGTATTCCCAATAACAAGAGCCTGTCCTCCATGGCAAAAGAATTTACTATACCCTATTCCAGCTGCGGAAGGACACTACTCCCAATCTTGTGTCCTCTAACCTTTCTGTCTCATCTAAGGGAGAAATCAAAAAAGTTGATTTCTCAACTTGATAAATCAGGTTGATTTCCAAAATACATGAGATATTCACAGGCCCAATAAAAGACCAAGAGAGCTCCAGCATAATAACAGTGGATTACAGTTGAAAGAGTTGCAAGACAGAGTGTATTAGTCTATTTTGCATTGCTATAAAGGAATATCTGAGGCTGGATAATTTATAAAGAAAAGAGGTTTATTTGGCTCACAGTTTTGTAGACTGTACAAGAAGCATAGCACCAGCATCTGCTTCTGGTGGGAAACTCAGGCTGCTTCCACTCCTGATGGAAATTGGAGGGGAAGCAGGTGGTGAGAGAGGAAGCAAGGGAACAAGAGAGAGGTGAAGAGATTCCAGGCTTTCTTTAGCAATCAGTTTTTTCAAAAACTAATGGAGCAAAACTCACTCGTTGCCCCAAGGAAAGCACCAAGCCATTCATGAGAGATCCACCCCCATGACCCAAACACCTCCCATCAGGCCCCATTTCCAACACTGGGGATCAAATTTCAACATGAGATTTGGTGGGGACAAATATTCAAACTATATCACAGACAACCCTCCTGTGTCATACTTAAGGAAACCCAAAGTCAAAAGGAGAGAAAAACCTAGGACCCTAGAGGAATTTGAATACCTTGGTACCCACAGGTAGAAAAACCATTAAACACAGCCTGTTAGTCAGATTCACATAAAATCTCACACTGAATGAAGGCCTATTCAGCTCAGTTTCTGTTACTGAAAACGACAGGTCTGGTTTTCAACAAAAAAATTACAAGTTGTTGAGAAGTGCAGCTCCAGGCCAAAACCGTAAGTGTAATCTTGTAGGCCTAGCCGCAGAAAATTGTAAGGCTTTGCCTGACAGGCCTGTGGATGGTGTGGAAAGGCAGGGACTGCCCTCCTCACACCAGACGTGGTGCACATCCAGTGAATTGCAGGCATCTGAGAGAGTTGCAGTCAGGAATTCAACACCTCTTCCCCTGGGTCAGCCATACTCATACGCCTATCTCCGCTCCTACTCCAGGCACTTTCATTTGGAGGCCTCCTTTTATTTGGGACACCTTGGCCGAGGCACATTTTCCACTCGGAATCAGTTCTCCTAGACCTTCCCTGTATCCCTTTCTTAATCTCCCTATGTCCATAAAAAGGGAGCATTTAGTTAAGGCCTCCTTGGCAGTGAGATGAATCCCCATGCATGAGCTGTATATCATTTGACCCTAACCCACTGGGAGAAAATTAAACATTATCATTCTGTGGGAGACAATCCAGGTCTGGATTCCTAAGACACAGTTGACATATGTTTGCATTTAAGAAGGTGGGGAAGGTTAAGTAAAGTATGGTATTCTTTCTTATCTTCTTATCTTCAGCATTAATGTAGAGATTGCAAACTAAAAGAATAATGCACTTTTGTGAATGGGCAAGCAAAAGGCAGTAGTGAGTGGTAGTGGCAAAGGGCATTCGAATTGTATTTTTCTGTCAATGTCAATGTGCTAACTAAACAAAATATATCTGAGTATTAAATATAGCTTTGAGTCCCCTTTGTAGAAAATACACCCTATGGAGAATTTTGCCTTTATTAGTCAATGGACAGGAACATGATTTGAAGAAGGTGGCTATTGAAAGACTTGAACTGACTTTACTTACACTATAAGGAAGATTATGGTAAACATGTTATGCAAATGATGGAGATGAAAAGGAAAGGGTCAAGGTGCTCACTGTTCTTGGTAGTGTCAAAGGATCACTGATAAAATATAGATTGCTGAAGGCTAAAAACAAAAGGGTCAATGAAAAGTCAGACAGAAAATGCAGAAAGAGTGGTCAAACCTGAGGAGTTTCCAACAGCTTGTTGTCAAAAGTTGCTGGGATCTAGACATAGGCTATGAATCCTGATTTATAGCATCATAAGTCAGAGGAAGGCTGTGAACCAAAATCAAGATAATGATTTAGAAAAAGAGAATACGTTTATTATTCCATCAAAGATTATATAGGCAAAAAATCCTCAAGTACCTAACTTACAATGCACAACAGTGAGGTCAATAGGGAAGAATAAGTTATAGAACAATTATAGCTCCAATTTGTCTGCTGTGGTTCTTATTTATTATCTTAGGTCAGACACCCAAGAAGAACTCTCTATAGAATTTCAAAGTCAATGGAACAAAATTCTTACTTGGAGACCATGCGAGCAATCAACTAGCTGAATGCAGAGATGTGCTAGTAATGCATCTTCTGGTATCTTATTTCGCTATACTAAGTTTCCACTGGGATTATGGGCTTAGAGCTACCTATTTTATTGCGAAACAAAGAGTGGCAGCAAACCATACAGGAAACTTTTTGGAATATTCCATCAAAAGGGAGTCGGTGATGATGTACTTGAGGTGGAAGGCATTGGCCAGGGAGTTTAAGAGACATATGTTTTACGGCTATAATTTCTTTTATTTTAGGCAATGTGGAAAATGCTATTCTCTTGCATAAGTTTCCATCCAAAGTGTGAATGGTACTTTTTCCTATTGACAAAAAAGAATGATGTAGGGTAGAACAACATCTGTAAAAGTAAATAAGCTCTATGTACATATAATTAACTATGCAAATCTACCTTTTAATAGCTCTGATGTAACTGCTATTTTGGGGAACTATATAGACTTCAATGAGATTATAAGGATTGAAGTTTTTATCCGTAGTAGCAGCCTATATGCTATGTAATATTGTCGGTCATTTTGAATTTTAGTTTAACTTTTTCTAGGAATGGCCAAGGAGATTGATTCTGACTTAACTTTTCTTGGGTCAAAAATAAAGCCAGAATATTATTAATAGGCACCAGTAGACATTATTATTATGAGACTAGACATTATTATTATGAGACTATACATCTTATTATAGTTTACTGCTATACACTCCAATGCTATAAGTCAATTTTTGTAAAGTTTTAACTCGTAATCTGAAGGATGAATGCTTTAAAATACACAATATCATTTTTAGCTTCTATCCTTGTACATACTGTTTGATAGTGATTGGGTATTTCGCTACTCCTCTTGGCCAAAATTTCATAATTTGCACTCTATGAGTGGAGAGATTGAATCTGTCTGAAGTAAGCCTATTTAATTGTGTTTTTTAATATGAATCTAGATCCAGTCATATTCTTGGGATGTGTGCTACATAGCTGCAGGCCTGTCTGTGGGAGTGTGGCAGTTTAATTACCAGCTCAGCTGTACTCTGATGGATGTAGTGACAGTGATTCTCTAAGTCTGGTCTATTTTTTAATTTTCTTTGTATGGATCATATGTGTGTGCATGTGCACGTGTATACATACACACATGTATTTATGGCATATATGTATATTAGCACATGCCTGAGTGTAGAAGAGACTTAGGGTTTGTAGAATGTAGTGCCGAAAAATAAAATGTAATACAATATTATCTAAGTGTTATTAATTTTCAGCAATTTGGATTTTTAAAGTATTCATCTTTTAACCAAGTTGACACAATGAATGATAAAGATTTCCTGGACTGGATAAAATGAATTTTATAGAATATAAAAGCTACTTGTTATGCCCTTAAAAAGATATTGAATTGATAGGTCATGGTACTTTAGATAATTCTCTCATGTTGAGCTTCCAGGAACTTCCTTTAAAAAAGAAAATAGTAAGTTACCCCAAAATGTCCTTTACAAACCCTAGAATACAAATAGTTCTTTAAGACAAAGTAAAAGACATGTATTGTAATTTAATAATGCAATCATGCATATATAAGCATACTTGACATTATTGGACTCTCTCTTGTTACTTGTAGTACTTCTTCAAGTACTCTTTTGGGTAATAGAGAAATTTTCTTCAATTACCTTCATATTCTGAATAATTCAGAAACAAGTTTTCTATTTGAATAAAGAAAAATTTTCATTGTAAAATAGCAATGTAAAAAATTTATATTGTATCTCCATTCTGAAATAAAGTCAAATGTATCTTGAATTTGTAAAGAATAAGTAATATATATTTGAATCTAAATCATATCTTCCCCCTTTGTTTTTAGCAATTCTTCATTTAATGGAAAATAATTTTACTTTAAACACTACAATAAGATTACATATATTGTTATGAAAGAAAGTATTATGAAGGTAGGAGGAATTATTATTACAAGTGACTTAATGGCATTCATTTTTTATGGGTTATCCAGTTACAAGTTGGCCACCAAAAATTCCATCATCACTCCCAAGATATGGAAATTATTTCCTCTTTCTTGAATTGCTGCTGGCCTTATGACTTATTTTGACAAAGAGAATGGGGCAGAAGTGATGATGTGTGAGTCCTGGGGTTTACCCCTTAAGAAAACTTGGCAGCTTCCATTTTCATTCTTTTGAAAACCAGTCACAAAGTAAAGAAGCTCTGGCAAAATAAATGAGTGATGAGATAGGAGAAAATCCAGCCAGCCCACAGGCATTTAGACACCACAGCAGAGGTGCCATGAGTGTGAATGAAGACACCTTGAATGTACTGTACCAGTCACCCACCCCGCAAAAAGCAGCTAAATAAATACATGCTTATATCCTAAGCCAACTCCCTGTGCAACAGAAATAATATCTAGATAAGTCTGCTAACTCACAAAATAAGACATATTGATAAATGATAAATCATTGTTTTAAGCCACTTAATTTAGTATTAGTGTGTTACATGGGAATCCATGACTAAAACATATATTCTTTGAGAAAATAGATTATTTTCAAGTATAAGATTTTTGAATTGAATAATTTTTACTGCAAGGAAAAAGGACCAAGCCACCACTGTCTCCTTTCTCATTAGTTGGAAATAGGATAATTTAATTAGAAGATAACTTGGTATGATTAGTAGTTCTATCAGAGCACTTTCAGCTTGCAATGCAAAATTTTCTACTTAAACATGCTTAAAGCAATAAAGGCATTACTAATGCCTCATGATAAGAAGTCTAGAGACAGCTGAGTACTGTATGGTAGCTTAACAATGCCTTCAAGTAACTAGGCTGTTGTCATTATTCTGTATATCATCCTCAGCCAGTTACTCTCTGTATCATGAGTGCAGGATGACTGCTTCACTTTTGGACATTACATTCACATTCAAGCTAGGAAAGGTGCTGCCTTCTTTTTGCCAAGAAGAAAAAGGTATGCTTCTTTTTGTTCGTAAGTTTTCCTAGAAGCAACTTCAATCAAATAGTGTCCATGCCCTGTGTTCCATTTGACACAATAGGAACATATGGCCATAACTGGTAGCAGTGGGAAGCTGGTAAGTCCTACATCTCGCAAAGGAATACAGGATTGTATTGACAGCTCAAACTGGTTTTGCTTTGTGATGTGTAGAAAGACACAAATGCCACTCTGAACAAAATTGGACTTTATTAACAAGAAATAAATGATGACAGATAAGCAACCAAAATGATCTGACAAATTAAATGAATTCATTCGTAGTAGTACTCTATTATTCTGAGCTTGGAAAAAAAATGTTTTGTTTTGTTTTCTTTTTAAATCCATCATGGTTACTGTTTGCAAAAACACTCTCTGGTAGTCAATAGAAACTACAATCTTTTAAAGTAAACGAAAGGAAATTCCTTCCTATTTCTAATTTGTTGAGAGGTATCTTACCCTTTTTATATTTTTAAGTATTTGTCTTGCTAATATTCTGTTTAGAGCTTATGTATCCATGTTTATGAAAGAGATATACCTCTAGTTTTCTGATCATTTTGTTTAGTCTTTTTCTCTGGCTTTGAGGCTCAGGTTATTCTAACATTATAAAATAATTTGGAATATTTTCATCTTTCTTTCACCAGAAATTTTTGCATATGAATCAACTTACTTGTACTTTGAATATTGATCCGGTTTGCATTGAGGTAGTATTTTTTGTTTATGATTTATGTACTCTGAATTGACCCATTTTAGAGTATAATTTGATTTCTTTAGATAAATGTATACAGTTGTGGTAACTACAACCACAACTAAGATACAGAATATTTCATTACCCCAAAAGTGCCACTTTGTAGTCAGTTGTCTATTATCCCTATCCTCAGCCTCTGGCAAGCAATAATCTTGTTTTTGTTTGTATAGTTTTACCCTTTTTGGAATATTCAGAATTGTACACTGGATTCTAACATGCAACCCGTTATCTGGGCCCACAGCAACACCCAGTCCTCTTATTCCCACCTACTCCTGGGCTAAAATGAAACACATTTTATTCAGTGTTTCTAAGTATTTTCACATAAAACCTATGCTTATGTGGTAGTCAGCCCGAAACATGGCCCCCAGCGATTCCTACCTCCCGGTATTCACGCCCTGTACAATCTGGTCTCCTTTAATGTAAGATGGACTTATTGACTCACTTCTAACTAATACATCTATAAAGAGATTTCGCTTTGGAGGTGTAGTTAGAAAAAGAACGTGGCTTCCATCTTAGTGATCTCTTGTGGTCTTTCTGATTGCTCACTATGAGGAAGACAGCTGCCATGAAGCACTGCATGAGTGAGCTTAGATGCTGATTTTCTGAGACCTGCCAATAGCCGCGTCAGTGAGCCTGGAAAGAGATCCTTCCCCAGTTGAACTTTGAGTTTAACACAGACACCTTGATCATGGACTTGTAAGAGACCCTTCGCCAGAATATAGTTGAGACACTGTTGAATTCCTGATTCAAAGGAATGGTGAGAAAGTAGATATTTACTGTTTTTAGTTGCCAAATCTTAAGGTATATTTGTTTCCTATGTCTGTGATAACAAATTGCCACAACTTGGTAGCTTAAAACAACAGAAATTTATTCTCTCACTATTTTGGAGTCTAGAAACCTGAAATCAATTTCACTGGGGGGTCAAAGTCAAGGTACTATTGGGGCCACACTTCCTCTGGAAACTTTAGAGAGAATCTGTTGTTTGCTTCCTTTAGCTTCTGGTGGCTTCTGGCATTCATTGCTCAAATTGCTGCCTCCATTTTTGCTTTGTCTTCCCTGTGTCTAATTTGTTTCTGCCTTTCTTTATAAAGACATTTGTAGTGAAATTTAACGATTGCATGGATAGTCCAAGATAAATCTCATTTCAAAACCCTTAAGTTAATCAGATATAGAGAAGCTTTATTGTATATGGTAACATTCAGAGAGTCTAGAGATTAGGACCTGATGTCTTTGGGGACAATAATTCAGACCATTACATAGAGTAATTTGTTATGCAGTGACAGATAATGAATAAACTGACTTTTATTGCTGAGTTGAATCTTCATAGGTTTGACTGTTAAGGTCTCCCTTAGTCTTATATCTTAACTGTTTAAGGTCTACAACCAATTGGATTTTCTGATTCTTCTCTTTTACAGGTTTTATTTTTCTTAAATCTATTTCCACTGATTTTGGCCACCAAAATAAAAACCATTCTAATTTGAGGTCATATCAATCATGTAATGACTCATCAAAATCAGAAGCCAATGTATACCATTATACTGACTCTTCCCAACCGCTGGAGTTCTGAGTATCAGCCTCAGAAGATATATGGTCTACCTTCCAAATTATCATAGGTCATACATCTCCAAATGTTTTTCCAAATATATTAGTTGCCCATCTGTTTAGTCTTTATCAGGAAATTCATCATCACCCATTTCTTAATTAGGAAAACAGTAAAATACATTTTAAGTTTCTTCTACCACTTCCGATACCTATATCTGTTTTAGAGAGAATAACACTAGTTTTTGCAACTGATAAACTCTGAAATCTCAGTGAGGTAACAAAATACGTTTATTTCTGTCTCATGTAAAGCCTCCCACACATATTTTATTGATGAGGAAGAGGCTGTTCTATAAGCAATTATTCAAGGTTCTAGGCATTTTTCTAATCATGACTACAGTCATGAAAAACCCTGAATGAAGTATTAAAGTATAGGTGGTCTTAGAAAGTAGAAAATCCAAAATTGTCTTATTACTTAAAACACGTATGGTAATTTTGAGTCATTGCTAACCCATATGCGTAGTATACAATGATTACATGGGCTTTATTGCTGAGCAAAGGGAGAGAAAAGGAAAACAGAGGGGAAATTCATGAAATTTGATATAAGATTGTATCTTTTGGATGCTGACTAAATTGGAATACTATAATAATGAAACTTAAACCACAGATCTCAGTTTGAAATATGGTTATTTAATATCTCTTGGGGTGATTTATGATTACATTAAATGGCTAATTCCTGACACTAACTTAGACATCTCTGAGAAGGAAAGTGGTAACATACTTGAAAAAGAGAGGGGGAAAGAGATCATGGGGAGGGGGTCAATTTGTAAATATATGTACAATTTTCACCAAAAAACTGCAAATATTTATTTTGACCACTGAAATTCATCAGAATTTAACATGATATTTATGTTGTTTACCTGCTGCAGATGGCAATAACTGTTTGGTTGCCAAAGGGGTAATCTCTTGAGAAGGGTAAAAAATAAATGATCTATTCTGAGATGACATAGACCAGTTTTCTTACCAGCTGTCCAGTTTAGAGATGGTATTCTGGAAAGAATTCCCATAAGCAATTTTGTATCTGTTACAAGTTTATTAGAGAGAGGCATGATATATCTTAATGGTCATTTCCAAAGATACTGGTAACAGTACTTAATTTTGTCAGACTCTGAATGATGAACAGTTAAGTGCTTGATTCTCTGAGTTAGTTGACTCCAGATTTGCAGTCATCTTAAGGAAAGTTACATTTTTTAGATATAAGGATATCTTATACATATAAGCATTAAGATAGAAGAAAATATTTCTATCCTACAGATTTGACAAATCTAGTTCTATAATTAGGCCATATTTTTGTCAAGTTTAGAAATCTTAAACAATTAAAATCAGATTTTACGCTTCTAATTCTACTTAAAAATGTTGTTTGGCAGAATTACAATCTATTTGCTCTCTAATGGAAAATTATAGACAATAGCAGATCTCATTTGCTGTTGACAAATAGGAGGATAGAAAGTAGATAAGCCATCAGAAAATATACCAACACAAAATTATTGTTCAGAGTCAGATCATTGATTAAATAGGTTTTGAGGACAAAGTATTTCATATGATAATGCACATCCTGAGGTATTTTTCATTGAATCAGTAAGTTTTGTTATAATAGTAAACTTTCTTTTAAAATCATTTCATTGCATATTTGATTAATACTTCTAGTTCTTGATGGTGAAACCAGAATATCTCTCTTCAACTTTATTTAAGACATTACAGAAATTACATATAAATGTTGTTATTTAATAATTATAAAATTATTTCAACAACAGCAATGTTTGTATACGTGAGAGGTTCCCCTGGGAAGTCCTGAGTATTTTTAGGAATGTTGATAGAACATACAATGTGAATGGGGCAGAAATCAGAGCAAAGGATATCATGACTCAAGTCACTAGACCTAAGCGAGGCTCTACTCAAGGAAACTTCAGCAAAAGAAGTCAAGAATCAACAGTGCAGGATGGAGAATGGTTGGGACAGGAAGCATCAGATTAATTTATTTAGAAACTGTATTGAAATAACTTGACTGTTAGGACACTTTCACTTTACTCTCTATAAATAGAACAGCAACTCTTGCCCACAGCACAAATCTCAAGAACTTTGCTTAAATTAATTGATAGATATAAATTCAGAAGAAATTAGATAGGGCGTTTACCCTGATAGAGTAGCAAACAGATTGAAGTGTCAGCTGAATCCCTTAAACAGAAAAAAAGAAAAAAATATATAGTGAGATGGTGGAGTAAGGGGCAGGGACAAATAGGCAGATAAGTAAAATAAATGAAATTACTTCACATTTCCAGAGTAAAATCCCATTTATTTGGCAGTTGGAGTCCACACTCACACTCCCTGCTTCTTTCCCAGATTTCTTCTAGTGAGCTTTACCTGTTGAAATGTCAGCTCCATTTATAAAGAGATGGTTCACACTCTTATTCAAAAGAGAGATTGTTTGGAAAGCGTTCCTGTAACCTGTGCTAATATCTTTTGCCAGTAACCTATTCTAATGTAATCTTTCATTCATAAACACAACTGGACAAGCAGGAACACAATTCTCTTGAGTAAAAACCATTAGCACATAAGAGAAGGCCCAAGATGACCAAAGAGACTGACTCTAGGGGAAAAGATAATATAGCTATAAACATAAAAACAAATTATAATTAGTATCCTCAGAAACATTCCCAAGACATTTCTCTCATTAAATTAAAACTGAGTAATACATAAAACGCTGTGAGAGATATGGAGGAGAGCTGGGGCTTCCTTATTTTCAGTCATCTTAGCTGTTTCAGTCAAGGGCCATTTTAGGTTAGACAAAATGTATTCAACCCTCAAACATGCAGAAACATGTCTGAGTTCAGACAAGATCAAATAAGGAGTCTCCTCAATTTGCGATTTATGGCAGACAGATCAGTTTAGCCAAGACCATGATAATGACCTACCTAAACTGTATTTTCATGAGCAATATTAAATGATCATTGTTTTAAGCCTTTGGTTTTCAGGTGGTTTATTATTCAGGATTACTGGAGCAACTGATATCTTAAATTGATAATATATTTTGTAATAGGAAATTACTAAAACTAACCAATATGACCTCCACTTCGCCAGCTATGTTTATTAAATGACTTTCATTTGGCCAACTAAATTTAAAAAACATTATTTGATCAGCTTAAATTATGATCAAATTCTGGTGCATCTAACAATGATATATTCCACAGCACTTTGAGAAATTCATGTAGTGTTATTGTTTTGTAGCTTTAAAATGATTCCAAGCACTTACACGATTTGCTACATGAGTGACATGTTTTGCTGTGATAAGCCCTCTCCCCTCAAGAATGTTAGGCCACAACTTATCAGGCCCCATATCTGAGTATTGACCTCAACTACTGGAATCCAAAACACATATAATCCTAAAAGTTTCACAGACAGTTTGAGAGCTTTGGCCCTAGAAGGGCTGCACTGTTAGTCGCCTCTCTAAGGAGAGCTCATGCTGTCAGGGCCATACCTTATTTGCCTTTGAGCTAACCCCCAAAGCTTTGCCCAGCAACACCAGAACCACCCACTAGCATCTAGGAACCTCAGCTGTGTCGGGTCAGATGGTCTCTCCTGAGAACCCCTGATATAAGGCACAACTCAAACTTTAATTAGACTATACTTTCTACAGAGGCCTGCTTCCATCCTAAGTGAGCAACTGGACTTTAATAATTTCAGAACTCACTATGTAGTTGATGTACTTCGTCTATAGTGTATATTCCCCATGAGATTTGTTTTCGTTATCCTCCCCATTTAAGCATTGTGAACCAAAAGAAAAGACAAACTGTATGGTAATAAATAGTGTGATTTGAAATTATATTTTACACATCTCTTTATTTTAACCATAAATATCAGTTATAAAACAACTTCTAATGTGTATGATTAGAAAATGGCAAGGGCAGGCCTGGCATGGTGGTTCATGCTTGTAATCCAGGCACTCTGGGAGGCCAAAGCAGTAATATTACTTGAGCTCAAGGGTTCAAGATCAGCCTGGGTAACATAACGAAACCCCATCTCTATTTTGTTTTCAATAAAATAAAATAAAAAGGCCAGGTAAAGAAAGTTGAACACAGACGTTTAGGCTTGTAAAAAGCTATTTCTATTCATTAATATCTATACTTGTATACATACACAAACTTGGATTTGTATATAAAATTTCTAGAGATATCTTCACAAATGTGTTAAAAGTAATTGCATCTTGGAAAGGGGTCAAGGAACTTTAGTAAGAAAGAAAGATAATTACATTTTATACCATGTTATTTTTTATATTTTGAATTTTTATTATTAACATGAATATCTATTCCTTTTAAAATTAGAAATACATGATAAAAACTGTAATGTAAGTGGTATTTTTAGAGTTTTAAAATTAACTGTAATTGTATAACTATGTTTAATATAAATGTGATGTAAAAATAAACTTAATCATCTCTTCAATAATTTCTGTGAAAAAGCAAGATATGAGAAACAAGTTAGGTTACAAATTAAAGACAGTGTAATGAAATAAAGGCAGCAGGCAGGACTTGATTTTTCAATTTAAAATGAATCTAGTAGATGAGATAAGTTTTTATAAATGTTTTAATGATGTGCAACACGTTCAGTAAATACAATTTTACAGAGAACTCCAAAGATAAAAGAATAAAAGCAATTTGAAAAATGAGAGCGATGAGATGTCACAGTTGAATCTACCTGGTCATTCCTTTGACCACCTCCCACCCAGATTCTCACCTCTGAAGTACCTGAAAGAGTTGTTGGCCTCTTATGAAAAAGCTGTTCCCTCAGATGTCTTCTTCAACCTTATGGATCCCTCAGTTCTTTGTAAAGTTCTCATACCAGGTTATTAACAGTGTCACTCTGTTTACAAAATATCACATTTACACATTTTTTGAAAACCATCTACTATGGAAAAATGAGATGCAGTTGTGTATAAATAAATAAGGAAGAAAAATTTTCCTTGAAAAAGAAAGTGACTGATTAATATGCCAGCTTCATCCTCACCTATACCACAAGGTGCTATAATTCTCAGCCATAACTGTCTTCACAGGGTAAAGCACTCACAAGAGGGAGTTAATCATCTATTCCACGTCCCAATTAATGCACCTGTAATAGTGGGAAAAAAAAATTGGCTGGCAGCATGTTTTGGCCAATTCCAAGATATTTATTTAGAAAATTTCCCCTTTTCCCCCTAATTAATACACTGCTTCATTTAGAATATATCACTTAAAAAGCAGTCATAATTATTGTTTTCATATTAAAACTAATTATATAGATAATAAATCTGCTTTAACAAAAAAAAATTCAAACTGCAGAGAGGTATTTTTAAAAAGTATACAATTCCTGATTTTTTCCTGTAACTTCCCAAATGTGATCATGACCCCAAGAAGTAGCTGTGGCCACTATTACATAAGACATTTTCTGTGTATATGCAAATATATACATACATTTAATCTATTAGTATTATTGTTTGCATGTGTGTGTGTATATATATTTCTTGGACATCATTTTTTAGCTTATCATTATAATGTGGCCAGGTTGAACAATGAAACACACATAACTGAAGACTAATATTTTCTCTGCATCTTTCAATATAAATATATGATTGTACTTTTATCTTTTCAAATGGGGAAAATACATTGACTGGGTTTAGAATGTCACAGCAGTGCTGCATTCCTGAAATTAACTCCATTTGACCATGATATATTTTACGTTTTTTAATATGCAGCTGAATTAGATATGCCAATATTTTACTGAGGACTTCTGCGTGTTTGCTGAATATGTATTTTGGACTGCAGGTTTTTTTTCTGGTGGTCTCTTTTTTTTCTGTTTTGTTTTGACATTATAATTTTTCTCTTATTACAGGAGTTGGGATGTGTTCCTTCTTTAATTTTCCGAAAGAGTTTGTATAAAATTGGTTTCATTTCATCTTTAAATGTTTGTTAGACTTTGCGAAGTAAGTCATACGGGCCTAGAGTATTGATGTTGTTGTTTGACAATTTTCAACTATAAATTTGATATCTTTAAATGTATGGAATTATTGAGGTCATACACATATACCTATATATAGTTCATTTAATCTGTGTTGTCACATTTATCAGCATAACTTTTTAGTAATATTCCTTATTAAATTTCATAAAATCCCCTTATTAAATAAAATTAGATTTGTGTTTATGTCCCCTCTTTCGTGACTGAGGTTGGTAATTAGTGTTGTTTCTCCTTTTTCTTGGTTGTCTTAGCTAGAGTTTTATCAATTTTTCCATGGTATCCTTCTTTACATTTGGTTTCCAGGTGTTTGCATAGGATGTGTTTAGGTGCATTTTTGGGGGGACAAGTATTTATTGACCTTAAAGCTCTCTCAGCTTCTTAGATCTGTGGTTTGATACTTTTTTTGTTATTTTTGGACAAAAATTTTGATACTATTTTGTTATTTTGGACAATTTTCATCTGTTTTCTCCGTAAACATTTATTCTGCCTCATTCTCTCTTTTCTTCTTATGGGAGCTCATTTGATATTGTCCCATATGTCTTGAAGATTGAGTTCTTTATTTAACTCATTTTTTCTTTGTGTTTAAGTTTGAGTAATTTCTGTTAATCTATCTTAAACTTCACTTACTCTTTTTTTAACTGTATTGAGTCTATTAATGAGCCTATTAAAACATGTCCTCTCTGTCCCTCTCTCTTTTTTGCATTTCCATTTGATTTCTTTTCTTTTTTCTTTTCTTTTTTTTTTTTTTGAGATGGAGTCTCGCTGTCACCCAGGCTGGAGTGCAGTGGCACGATCTCTTCTCACTGCAAGTTCCGCCTTACGGGTTCACGCCATTCTCCTGCCTCAGCATCCCGAGCAGCTGGGACTACAGGCGCCCGCCACCACGCCCGGTTAATTTTTTGTATTTTTAGGTGAGATGGGGTTTCACTGTGTTAGCCGGGATAGTCTCGATCTCCTGACCTCGTGATCTGCCCACCTTGGCCTCCCAAAGTACTGGGATTACAAGCGTGAGCCACCACTTCCAGCCTCCATTTGATTTTTTTTTATAGGTCCTATATTTCTGCTGAAATTCTCCATTGGTTCATACATGTTGTCTTCCTTTTATAGTAGAGCTTTTAACACATTAATCATAGTAATTTTCTATTCTCTGGCTTATAGTCCAAATATCTGAGTTGTATGTGAGTGTCTGCAGCTCCTAGACAGGTTCTTTACTATTGGTGGTAGCTGACATCAAACTTGCAGAAATTTGTGAATAAATTGCGCTAAAATTGTATCCACTTTTATGAAAGTCATGTATTTGTCTCTTGCTCTGTCCTAGGTAACTTAGTGCATGTTTCCACATTTCTCCTTGGCAGTTTCTGCTTTTCTTTAGAGTTCAGCCTAGCTGGTTGCCCTGTAACCTCAGCTATCTCATAGGTTCAAGAAAATATATGGTTTTTATAATTTCCCATGACTTTTCTAGTTAAGAGAATGGGAGCAGCACTCTCTCCAGTACATCCTAAATTTTTTTTTTTATAAATAAAGAAGCTGGAGCTCTTAATTACCAATTTTTAACTACAAAAAGTTTTAAACCTGTTTTGCTTGATTTATCAACCTTAGGTAGCGACTAGAAATATATATTGAGTCAATTAATCTATTTACACTATATTTTTCATCTTTTATGCCCTCTACATCTTCTAGTTAGAATAAATCTTTCAGATTATTCTAAAGATTATCTTAAAAACAACCCTTAAATTTCTGTTTCTCTACTTACATCTTGTAGACATATTCTACTTCATAGTATGAACTTGGAGAATTTAATTTAGGGCACATTTACTCTCCCACAAATTCTGGACTTACTACATTTTAATTTTTGGTTTTGTGAGTACTTATCTTTATGATTTAAAAAATAATTATAGAAAGCATTAAGTAAGTCTACAAAGCTATGAAAAATGGAAAAAAATATGTGCTTATTCTTTCTTTTATTTCTGGTCCTTCCTCTAAAATTTTGATAGATATTTTTACATTTTCAAGGTTTTTAACATTTACATTCAATTTTCTATAGTAATTGTTCGTATTTTCCACTAAATAGAGCCTAAACATATTAGCTAATGAATCTAGTTTATAATAGTAGCAGGTGTTATTTACCACTGAATCAGGAAGTAAACCCATGCCTCATTTTTGCACACTTGACTGTGTACACGTTGATAAAGATGTGCATAGAGACCAACTTGTTTTTTAGACCACCAAGTGGAAGTTACACCTGGGTGTTTATTTTCACACATATATGTCAGTCTGCAATGTAATTAAGGGAAAAATCTACCCTATCTGTACATAAAACACTAGGCATTTGAGGAGTACTTAAGAATTTGAAATGTACAGTCCTTTTTCTTTCCTCTCTGTAGTCAGCTAAAATAGCTGCTAGCTGATGTAGCTCACTTGTTCTTTTTTTGGCAAATACATATAAAGCGGACAGTTCTAGTAGAAATAACAGTACATATACAATATAAATTCCTATGTCACAGAAAGCCTGTGTGTCTGAGGGTTGTAAACTATTTTTTGTCGTCAATTGTTTTAATTCTGTTTATATAACATATAAATGAGTTTAAGTTCTCATGACTATCTGAATATAATATGCAGACGTACAGTTCCCCAGTCAAGATATCTACATTCACAAATTATAAAATTCAATAAACTTAATTCAAAATGTTTTGTAAGATACTCACTCTGTTTAGCGTTACTATTCTTTGACGTAAATACTGTATTCCATACCTAAAATTCAAGGTTTCTTAAAAAAGTGAAATATTTCAACTGACACTAAAAAATAAGTGGCCTTGGCAGAATAGGAATTGCTATGAACTTCATAACTAGTTAGTAGATACATGTTTTGGGGGAGTTAATTTGTCAAATTGATCATGCAGCAAATTGGTCTTATAATGGATGGCAATTGATGAATGGCTGTTCTGAAACTTGATCTAGGAAAAAGTTCTCCAAAATGATGATCCAGGGAGGGCATTCTCAAGCTATGGAGGTAGAATGCAGGGATACATAGGTTGACTTGCATGTATTATGATGGTTTGTGGAATACCATGTCACACCTGCAGCTTTGTATTGCTGCTGTGGGAAGTATTTTTTAAAAGTTGAAGAATGAATAAAGATTGCTTTTGAAATTCAAATAAATCAATTGACAAGCACATAAACTATTAACTTATTTAATAAATTTGATTTCAAATATTTTCCCCTGTAGGCCATTTTAGTCCTGTCATCTTTTTTTAACTTGCATTTTAAATAACCTCCCAACTCATATGTCTTAAAAGGTTGTACAAAAATTACCTACTCTTAAAATTTTTCACTTTAACATTTACTAGAGGAAAGATACAGATTGAGAAAGTATACTAACCGTGCATGTTATGAGCATACCCATTCTATTAGATTCACATTGCGGGGTCAACTTAATTGAACAAATTATTGTTAAAATACCATTTTTTCCTTTGGTATGCTTGTGTTTCTTTTTTAGTAATCGTAAAGAGCTCCAAATCTAGTTGGTTCTTTCAGAATGTTTTCTTTTTCATATGAATTTTCCTTGTACTGACATTTTGATTTTTCTTTCCTTAGAGAACCATAAATTACATTTCCGTGTCTTCTTTCCAGTTATTCTGTTTGGGTTTCATGTTCCCCTACTTCAAGAACTGCTTGACCCATAACAGCATTACTTTCTGTAGTATTTTATTTACATTTTTCTTTTTCACCTTCAGCTCTCCAAATGTGGCTATTTTCTGTTACCTGATTTCTAAGTTATGGTTCTTATCTTACATCAAATACTTGACTTCCATCTGTAGCTGACTTCCACCTCATTTGCTTTTGAGTTACTCTGCTTTTGTTTGTTTCAAGGTGTTTCTTCCACATTCCCCTTTTCTTTTCTCATATTTAGACTTCGTGAAAATCTCTGTGCTCAAAATAAACAAATTCTATCTCACTTACTCTGCAAGAGCTGTCTTCCTCCTGCTGTTTTCTTTCTGTATCTCTTGTTTATCCCATTACTTTACATTGCGCCTCTCATCTTTTCTCATCACAGCATAAAATCTATCTTCTTTTTCACATCAATTCTTAAAACGTCTCTTGTTTCCTTTGTCTTTTAGAGCCCCAAAAGATCTCTGAATATGATATAAACTGAGAAATGTATTTTATCTATTTTCCTTAGGCCCATGAAACTGGCTACACTTGCCTGCTCAGCTATATTAAGACATGTTCTGAGGAAGTTTGAATAGCTAGATTCTCTCAGTCATAATGGTTGTATCCATTTCCAATTTTAGAGGAAGAATTAAGAGGTAGTTTAATGAATATAAAGGAAATTGGCTTTGGACTCAAACCTCATTTTTTTTCCAACTCTACTATTTACAGTTTTTGATTCTTAGAGAAATTCGTTATCTCTTCTCAGCTTGCATTTTTTTTTTTCATTTGTAATAATACTACAGGTTGGGTATCTCTAATTCAAAAACCTGAAATCCAAAATGCTCCAAAATCTAAGACGTTTTGAGGACCAACATGATATCACAAATGGAAAATTCCATATCTGACCTCATGTGATGGGTTACATTCAAAAGGTAGGGGTACAATACGTAGTTTACTCGGCATCCCCAAGGGGATTATTGTACACAGTAACCTTTTGTTTGTTTGTTTGTTTGTTTGTTTGTTTGAGACAGAGTCTCACTGTTGCCCAGGCTTGAGTGCAGTGGCACGAGCATGGCTCACTTGTTAGCCTCAATATTGCAGGCTCAAGTGATCCTCCTGCTTCTGCTTCCCAGACAGCTGTGACTACAGGTGTGCGACAATATGCCTGGCCAATTTTTTAAAAATTACTTTTGTAGAAAGGAGGTCTCTCTGTTACCCAGGCTGGTCCCAAACTCCTGAGCTCAAGTGATCCTTCAACCTTGGCCTCCCAAAGTGCTGGGATTACAGGTGTGAACCACCACACCTGGCCTATAGTAACCTTTTAATCAAAACGCAGCATCATAGATGAAGACTAAAATCCTGCCATTGTTTGTTGTCACTATTGTTTGATAACTGATACAGGTATTCTGGTGACGCTACATGCTGCTTAGTTACTCCGATCAAATTATTTTTTCACCATATTTACGGTATGTCACATTATTTATTGTTCAGTACTTACGTATAAATAAGTTTAAGAAAATAATTACTTATTGGTAGCATATAAATTTGAAGTCAGGAATGGTGGTGATGGCAAACAAACACAGATTGTCCACGTGGATGGATAAGATAATGATACCTTTGCTTTCTGATGCTTCAATGTACATAAATCTATTTTCATGCACAAAATTATTTTAAGTATTGTATAAAATTACTTTCAAGCTATGTATATAAAGCATACATGAATCATAAATTTTATGTTTATACTTGAGTCGCATACCAAAGACATTTCACATATATATGCAAATATCCCAAAATCCAAAAAAACCAAAATCCAAAATACTTCTGGTCCCAAGAATCTCAGATTAAAGATGCTCAACTTGTAGTACATATAACTTACAGTGTGTGCATGCATGTGGACATTACATGATATTAATAAAACACTTTACTAAATGCCCGGCACATTAACACAATAAATAAATGCTCTAATTAGTAATTACTATTTTTGATATGTAATTGTGATTTGTCTCACAGACTCTGATTACAGATCACATTAAGATGATGTCCTATGTCCTAGGCCTCATATTGAACAATATTTGGGCATCATTTTGTAATTATCCTCTGCCATCATTCAGTGCAAAGTTACCTATAAGGTAACTAACTTATCCTTTACTTGCCAAAGCTCTATTTTCTAATATCACTTAGGCCAAGGCCTCAACTACATGCTACTTTAATCATAATTGTTAATTTGTCCCAATTTGCCTTAACTAGATCACAATCTCTCCTGCATCCACTGTCTTATTATAAAAAAAGAAATAACAAATTTTGTTTTGACCTACTAAATTGGATCTCATCAGTATTAAATTAATTCTTTTTTTGATGATAAAATGTTTGACTTTATTCTTGTTTCTTAATTTGAATCTTTCATTAAACTTTTGAGCAACACAATTACTTTATTGGCAACTTTGGTTTTATGAAAATGGACCAAATGTCTAACACCAATGTATTATTACTTTCTGGGAAGTTGTGCCAAGATCTATAAAAATGACTCTGATAACTTCTGTCTGTACAGGAGTCTTTCAGCTCTTCTCCCCACCCACAGGGTTTTCCATTGTTTATTTTCTTCTGTTTGTCTTTGAAAATCTCATTCTCTGTAAAAAGAAAGAATACTGACAAATAAGAACATTTATTTCATCTCCCTTTTTCTTATTATAATGTTGTTTTCTTTGTGATCTGCCCTTCTCTCTTCTTTCATTCTCTATTATTTTGATTTCTTTCTTTTTTTTAAATGTAGATAATTAGTGATCTTTCCTCATCCTTTATTCAATTAAGCAGATAAATCTTGGATTCCACATATCTTGTCTACCACTGGAATACTCCTGATGTTTTCCCAGAAGCTTTCTTTCTACCAGGTATTTATCATGGCTTATGCCTATGTCATGATTTGATCTCCTACCTTCTGCTTCTGCCCCACATTGCTCTCCTTATCACCATTTGTTCTTGTTGTTTTTCTCAGGATACCAGTTGTGACAGGGGATGTCACTTGAGACTCAAAGCATTTTTTTTAAAAGACAGTTTGTCTATATAAAAGGTTATCCCACTCTCCAAAATAACACAGAAAAAACTGTCTTTTACAGAGAATGCATGAATTGACTTATACTTATATATAGTTACACTTCTTAATCTGGTACTTTAATCAATTCTTTCCAAAATATATAGAAAGCACCTTCCGTATGACATCGGCATTTCATGGAGTTGATGGACAGGGTTGAAAAGATCACTGAGACATGATCTGCTAAATGAGCTTTAATCGGCATATTATTTACCATGTTCATTATAAGTAAGAAAGATTGAGATCTTTTTTTCTGGTATGAGCAGATTTAGTGCTTCTAGAACTAAGATTATGCCTCTACCAAGGAATAGTTCAAATGTAGTGAATTAATATACATAATATGTTTTATATTAGACAGGAGTAAGTACCAGGAATAAGTGGCTGGCTGTGTTGATTGAGATTGTGACCATATGTAAGATGGGCAATTCTAGATTTTCATGATTTTAAAATCTTATTAAAAGACCATCACAAATTTGATAGCTTCCAGTGATACTAGCAAAGCTTTTCAACCCAGTACCCTACATTTCATAGAGCACTTTTGTCTATTAGTTTTACACAGAGTTGGCATTCCATCGAGGAAAATCTCCATAGTCTTTCTTTTCTTTGATTTAAAGGCTGATAGTATTCTTCCACAAGGCTTTCTCTAAACACATTGCACAGATTCCCTAAGGATGTGAATTGTAACACATTTTCAGTAGTGCATGGTGTGACATCATCAGACTCACACAAGGCTGATAGTTGAGAACCCATTCACAAAACAGCATGGGAAAGCTCAAGCCTTTCAAGGAACCACAATGTACTTTTGCAATGTAGCAAATTGTAATCCACAGGAGATGATGGCAGCCAAAGGAGAATCTCTTCTTTGTGAGATTTAGGAAGTAAAGTTAAGGGCTTCACGATGTAGAATCTTTTTTTTTTTTCCTTTACATTAAAAGAACCCTATAATTAGTGTTTCTACAGTCATTGCTGAGATACTGTTAAGAGAACCAGATTGGCAGGTTTAAAGGGTATTTTACTTTCTACAAATCCTGGGAAGATACTCTTCCCTGAATTTTTCACCTCATGCTTTTACTAGATGCCAGTTGCAGAGACTATGTTATGGCTTGTCTAGGAGAGAAAGGATAAATGTGTAATCCACATGCTAGTAAGCACTAAACAATGAAATAATAAGCTCCTGGAAGACAGTAAGCAGATAAGGTAAAGCTCTAACAACTGTTATAGTGGAACAGTGATGGTTTCCTAATAACTAAAGAAAAAACAACCATAAAGGGAAGGAAGGATGAGAAATATAGGTGGTGGTTGCAAGTAACATTTAGTATCTAAGGTGTCATTTTCCCACCAAGAATGCATATGAATAAAACCATTCCCACCACAGCTGAAGTAATCTGCAAGAGCACTTTGTAGAAGGGATTCCATTAAAAATTGCTTCTAAAAAGACATTAGCAGATTTTCTTTCCCTAACTTTGTCATTTCACAGGTGTAAGAAATATAAATTGTTATAGTGATAGCCAGAAGAGAAATGATTAATGAAATATTTTTAATCAGCTAAGAATGCTGCTTCAGTGACTGTTTTAAGCAGTTTCACAGGGAAAGATAATTTTCTTTAATTAGTATACTGGCTTTGAATAAAGGAAGCAACCAGTTTGGTGTTGTTTAGCATGAACAAAATATGTATAAAAGCAGATGAAAGAGATTAACATGATAAAGGAAGAAATTCTCTGCAAGGTAAGGACAGGGATTTTTCTTGGATGTTCATGACTAATAGTTTCTCCGAAGCCCAGTGAAGAGTGATTTGTGGTTGGCATAATCATACTGCAGTGATGCAGGCATTTTAAAATTTTTCTACATATTTAGGATTATGGTTAGTGTTTGTTAAAAACTGCTCATTTCTCAGTGTGAATTTGGTTATTTTGAACGAAATTTATAATTTTTGTTATAAAATTATAAATTAAAAATACTGTTTAGACAATAAAAAATGAGTGTTACCTGAATAAGAAGAATCTGACAATTCCATTAACATATTTTTTGGCAGAGATTATGTAAAAATTAGAGATAATCTCATTTCCATTTCTTGCAGGTTCTGAAAAGGTCTAATTTCTTTTTGGATGACCCAATCTTTAGGCATTATATTGCCAGAGATATATAAGTCCCTTCTAAGCTCATTTGTTGTTGGAAGAATTTGTTTCCTTGTATTTATAGGACTGAAGTCCTGTTCTCTTGCAGACTGCTAACTCAAGATCACCCTCACCTTCTGGAGGTCACCCCTCTTCATCAGCAGTCCACAAGTAACTGTCTTGATTTTTTGTTTTTCTCGATGTAAGTATAAGTGAGCGTTTCTGAGGGCTTTTGCTACATCTGCTTCTTCTGCCTCTAGCTGGAGAAAGTTCTCTGTTTTTAAGTGCTCATGTGATCAGATTGGGACCACCTGCATAATCCTAGATACGCTCCCCATTTAAACCCTGTAACCTCTATCACATATCACATCTGGAAAGTTCTTTTTTTTTTTTTTTTTTTTTTTTTGCCATCTAAGGTAACATGCTCACAGTTTCCAGGGATTAAACTGTAGATAGCTTTTTGGGGGACCATTATACCTACCAGAGAAGGGCTTTAGGAAAAAACAGTTTTAAATACATTTGTTTAAAAAGATATAATTTTTGTTAATTTCTGTGCAATTTCTTCATAAAACACAAAACTTTCTAAGACAAAATAAAAAGATAAATATTTGGCACAGAATGCATAGTTATACAGATAATAATTTTGAATATAGAATTCCTATCAATTGACCTTGTCATGTGGAAAAATAATTTAAAACTCTTTTTTTAAAATTTTATTCATCCGGCCAACAAAAATTGTGAAAGGTTTTGAAATGGGGGAAAAAATTATTGATGTTCTGACCGGTTAACTTCTACAGGTATCTCTGCCTATCATTGACTTTGAGCCCATAAATTGTTGAATACTGACTATAATGCAAATTATGCTTGCATATACAAATGCAAATTAGTTGTTTCCAGGGTAATGCAAGTGATTATTGCCCTGTGGATAGACCCATTTTGCATCTACTTGTATATTCAATTCAGAATTCTTTATTCATTTTGTATGTATTATTCTTAAAATTTTCTTTTGACTTGGTTGTAATATCTTACTGGTTCTCACAGTAATGGATGATTTAGATAGAATCTTTGATATGTGTTCACTGTATACTTGTATGTGAACCATAATTTCTCCCTTTTTTAAAAAGTGACTCTTAAAAAATTTTAGAAAAGGGATAACCATTTTCCCTCTTTTTTATACTTCCTTAACACTCGTAGATATTTTTCAGTTGGAAGATGTTCAAATAGGGTCCTTCATTTAGAAACTTTCTCCTCTGGTGTGAGATATCCCCCAGCTCATGCAGACATGCTGAAAGACATACATCAGTACTCTACAAAGGAAAGGTAATGAAAGCCATAAATATGAGTTACTTATGTAATTTTAATTTTTCTAGTAGTCATATTTTAAAAAGTAAAAAGAAACAGGTGACATTAATTTTAATAATCTAATTTAACCCAATATGTACAAAATGTCTTCATGACAACAGGCAATCAATATAAAAATTATTAGAGTTATTTTACATTTTATACCAATTCTTCAAAATCTGTTGTGCATTGTACACTTACAACACATTTCAATTTAAGCTATCTGTATATTAAGTGTTCAATAGCCACATATGGCTATTGGTTGCCATATTAGCTGTGCAGCTCTGGAGATATTCTGGATTCTGCTTATTTTCAAGACAGTTCTCATAGACTGTAATGAATTTTTTGAGAGCCCAATTTGCTTATTTTTATTCTGATAGCCATAATGTTTGTTACTTACAATAATATCTCTAATTGGTATTCAATAAACAAAATATAAATAATTTTTATTTAAATAGATGTTTTGACTTACAAAACACATTCATATTTATTAGCTCACTAGATTTTAACATTAGTAATATTTTATGCCATTTCTTAAAGAAAAAAATCAAAGATGTCAGAAAATTCACAATTAATATGAGTTAAAACCCAAACCTAGACATTTTCGTTGTTGTGCATATTTGTCAAGATGTTAGGCTATGCTGCCATAAACATTTTGACATATAAAACCTCCAAATCACAATAAACATTCAAAATCAAAATAAATTTCTTAACATATAAAAGTTTTATTTCTCGCTCATATCAGAAAACATTGTAAGGTGCCACTCATCAGGTCTCTGCTCCTAAATTTGAATCAGTCATCCAGTCCACCTCCATCTTGCAACAACATCCTGTAGGTTTATTTCATTTCCATTCATGTGAATGAGAGCAGGGAGAGGAATCACCTGCTATTAACGCTCTCAATTTTGCTGACATCCTTTTGGTAAGTTAGTCACGTAACTCAACCAGGATGCATGCCACTGGGGAATTTAGAGGACTATGGGGATATTTGGTTTACAGTAATAATCTCAGTCACACTGAACCATGGTCAATTCAATAATTTAGACAATTTTATTTTATCTTTTGATATACAGAAAGATTGTGTCTTGTTTCCAGTATAAATGTCTGAAATGAAATTTGCTGCCTTCTCTTTCCTACGTTATGGTTTTTCCATTTTGTCTAATGGTGTAACGATTTTCCGACACATTTTGAATCTTCATACTTTATTGTCTTTTATACCCATTTTACTGACAAGTCCTGCATATTTTAACCATAAAGCTCTTTCACATCATCCTTTTTTTCTTTTTCTTTTTTTTCCTTTTTGAGACAGAGTCTCGCTCTGTTGCCCAGTCTGGAGTGCAGTGGCACAATCTTGGCTCACTGCAAGCTCCGCCTCCCAGGTTCATGCCATTCTCCTGCCTCAGCCTCCCGAGTAGCTGGGACCACAGGCGTCCGCCACCACGCCTGGCTAATTTTTTGTATTTTTAGTGGAGACTAGGTTTCATTGTGTTAGCCAGGATGGTCGCCATCTCCCGACCTCGTGATCCACCTGCCTCTCACTCCCAAAGTGCTGGGATTACAGGAGTGAGCCACCACGACCGGCCCACATCATCCTTTTTTTCATTTCTACAATTACGATTCTATTTCAAGCCTCATAACTCATCCAAATCTTTCTAATAAGTCTGTGATTTTTTTTTCTGAATTTAGTTACTCTTCACTTTTTACTTGAATACTGGCTTTACCAGTAATTAATTGTATGAGGTTTGCATGTTGCTCAACTTTTTGGGCCTCTGTTTCCTCATCTGTAAAATAGAAAATAGCAACATTTTAATATAACAGGAGGATTAAATAAATTACAACATATAAAGTGCTGAGTAGGGTTTTGAGTACAGTTATCCCTCAGTATCCACAGGGGATAGGTTTCAGGACCCCTGTGGATACCAAAATCCATGGATACTGAAGATTTTTATATGAAATGTCATAGCATTGGCATAAAACCTATGCCTATCCTCTCGTCTACTTCAAATCATCTCTAGATTACTTATAACAGCTAATACAATGTGAACAACATGAATTGGTTGACTGTATTGTTTTTAAAATCTAATGATTGTATTATTCTTTTTTCCTCTTTTTCTTTTGATATTTTTGATCTGCAGATGTAGAAATTCTGGATATGGAGGGAAGACTGTATACTACACACTAGAACATTAGCTCTTACTGCTAGCACTTATCTATCAGTGCTTCTCTTTTAAAATTGTGCTTTAATTTAATTTTGTGACAAATTGTAATTACATGTAATTATGGGGTATATAGTGATGCTATATGTATACAGTGTGGGATGATTGAATCAAGCTAATTAACATAGCCAACATCTTAAATACTTATTATTTATTTCTCTTGTTTAACTACAACTTTGTATTCTTTCACAAGCATCTCACTCCTTCCTTCTACCTTCCAGTCTCTGGTAACCACTATTCTACGGACTGCTTTTATTTGAGTTTAATTGTTTTAGATTCCACCTAAAAGTGGGAATATGCGGTATTTGTCTTTCTGTGCCTTGCTGATTTCACTTAGCATAAGGTTCTTTCACGTTGTCAGAAATGACAAAATTTCACTCTTTTTAAAGGCTGAATAGTATTCCATTTGGTGTGTATACCACATTTTCTTTATCCATTAATTAATTGATGAACACTAAGGCTATTATGAATAAAGCTACAATAAAGATGGGAGGGCAGGTATCTCTTTGACATACTGATGCCTTTTATTTTGAAGTTTTCATTATGATCCAGCATTGTAAATCTCTTAGTTTGGTATATGAGGCCTTCCACAATGAGATGCCAAGTTATTATTATAGAACTCTCTATCAATATCTCCAGCTAAACTGAGCCATTCCTTATTTTTCAAAAACTACTTCCAAATATCGTTCCTTGTATTCATGATCTTCTCTTGGGGCAGGTTTCTTTTGCATTTCTATCGAAAATCTTATCTGCTTATTGATACATTAGCAATGAATAATTTCCTGATCCTGCAAAGGGTAGAGGGAAGAGGTAGAAAGGTGGCAAGAAGGGAAACCATAAAAATAAATTTTAAAATAACCTAGTCATTCTAGGGGAAAGTGTTTCATCTTCCTGAACAACACAATCCTTGGTTGCTAACCTCCTGTATCAGCCAGGAGGTTATATTATTGTTATATATATTTACAAAGACACACACACACACACACACACACACACAAATATATGAGAGAGATTTATTATATGGAATTGTTGCAACTGAGGGGACTGAAAAGTGCTGAGATCTGCAGTCTACAAGCTGGAGACCCAGGAGAGCCAACGTGTAGTTCCAGTTCAAGTCCACAGGCCTGAGAACTAGGAAAGCTCATGGTACCAATTCCAGTTCTGAAAGCTGCCAGGCTTGAGACCCAACAACTAATGATTAACTGAGTCTGAAGGTTGGGAAAGAACAGTGTTCCAGTTTATGCAGCCAGGTAAAAGGAGTTTCCTCTACTCAGCCTTTTTATTCTATCCAGGACTTCAATTGATTAGGTGAGGCCCTTCCAGATTTGGGAAGGGAGTTGTATTAAGTCTATTGATTCAAAGTTAATCTCACCAAGAAGCATATGTCTCTTAGACATAGCCAGAATAAGGTTTGGCCAAATGTTTGAGCAGCCATAATATCTTTATTTTACTTATTGCTACTTTTTAAGTTTTTAAAATAATATAGTTATATATTTAAATATTAATAATGACTCTCTTATTTTTCCATCTGTGAATTTTCAAAGGAAAAAACCATGTTTCATTTTCAATTTCCTTTTCAAGAAACTGTACAATGATGTACAACCTACACACTTTAGAAAAAATACCTAACAGATCTTGAATTTGATCATATGACTCAAGGGGATGTAGTAATTATTAAACAACCAGCCTTTCTAGCAGCATTAATTTTAATCTTCATAAATAGTACCCAGTGGCCCAAATGAAATAGTCAATGAGCCACCACTTGTTATGAAATTCTGTTTTAGCAGACAGACTATGATTCCAAACAGTGCAATCAATTGGTACAAGTTTAAAGTCAGAAAATAAAGGGATAACTTAAATTTATAAAGACTAACTATATTTTCAATACATTTTAAGTGATATGGAAAACCTATAACAACTTCTATTCCATTCTGCAGGTCACCCTTTTAAAAAAGAATACTTTACTATTTTTCTGGAATATTGTGGAGGTTGATTTTTAGTTATAGTCTTAATTTTCTTGACATAAATTTGTTAAGTCAACAAATCTTCTGTAACTTTCTACCTATTATAATTATTGGAAATGTTTAAATGTTATTCTTTTCAAACTAATAAATATGAAAGTTCTTTTCAATAAAAGTCTACAGATATGAATTTATATTTATTTTAATTTTAGTAATATCATTTTTGTTTCTATTTATTAAAATTGCTAGAGATTTCCCAAATACAGCCCTTCTTCAAACAACATATATAATATGTATAAAACATTATATTTTATATATAAAAAATTATATATAATATATATTCAACTGTTTTAAAATAATATTTGATAAATATCATTTATTTATTTATTTATTGATAAATATTTATTAGTTTATTAGTTATTGCTAACATTGCACAAACAGAAATAAATTTCCTCATAATTATTTTACTTTTTATGACTCATTATGTATCGATCTACAAATAGTCTATAAATGATAAAGCAATTAAGACTTTCTTTATATGAGAAGATTAGGGATTAGACTCTCCTCACAAGGAACAAAGCAACATACACTGTGAAATTAGTGTGGATTTGTTTCTTTTAATAACACTCAAGCTAAAATACATGTTTGACCTTAGCTGGCATTAAAATTATTTCCTAATGTATTAGTCCGTTTTCATGCTGCTGATAAAGAAATACCCAAGATTGCGCAATTTACAAAAGAAAGAGGTTTATTGGACTTACAGTTCCACATGGCTAGGCAGGCCTCAAAATCATGGTGGAAGGCAAGGAGGAGCAAGTCACATTTTAAGTGGATGGCAGCAGGCAAAGAGAGGGCTTGTGCAGGGAAACTCTCATTTTAAAACCATCAGATCTCATGAGACCAATTCACTATCAATGAGAACAGCATGGGAAAGACCTGCTCCCATTATTCAATCATCTCCCACTGGGTTCCTGCCATGGTATGTGGGAATAATGGGAGCTACACGATGAGATTTGGGTGGGGACGCAGAGCTGAAGCATATCATTTCACCCCTGGCCCCTCCCAAATCTCATATCTTTACGTTTCAAAACCAATCATGCCTTCCCAACAGTCCTCCAAATTCTCAACTCATTTCAGCATTAACTTGCAAGTCCACAGTCCAAAGTCTCATCCAAGACAAGGCAAGTCCCTTCCACCTATGGGCCTGAAAAATCAAAAGCAAGTTATCTACTTCCTAGATACAATGGGATACAGGCATTAGGTAAATACAGCCATTCCAAATGGGAAAAATTGGCCAAAACAAAGGTGCTACAGGCCACATGAAAGTCCAATATCCAGTGGGGCAGTCAAATCTTAAAGCTCCAAAATGATTTACTTTGACTCCATTTCTCACATCCAGGTCATGCTGATGCAAGAGGTAGGTTCCCTGGTCTTGGACAGCTCTGCCTCTGTGGCTTTGCAGGGTACAGCCTCCCTTCTGGCTGCCTTCAGGGCTGGCATTGAGTGTCTATGGCTTTTCCAACTACCACAATGCAAGCCATCACTGGATCTGTCATTCCAGGGTCTGGAGGATGGTGGCCCTCTTCTCACAGCTCCACTAGGCACAGCCCCAGTAGGGACTCTGTGTGGGGGGCTCTGACCCCACATTTCCCTTCTGCACTGCAGAGGTTCTCCATGAAAGCCCCACCCCTGCAGCAAACTTCTGCTGGGGCATCTAGTTGTTTCCATACATCTTCTGAAATCTAGGCAGAGGTTCCCGAAACCCGATTCTTGACTTCTGTGCACTGGCAGGCTCAACACCATGTGGAAGTTGCCAAGACTTGAGGTTTGCACCCTCTGAAGCCATTGGCTCCTTTCAGCCATGGCTAGAGTGGCTGGGATGCAGGGCACCAAGTCCCTAGGCTGGACACAGCATCAGGATCCTGGGCCCAGCCTAGGAGACCACTTTTTCCTCCTAGGCCTCTAGGCCTGTAATGGGAGGGTCTGCTGTGAAGACCTCTGATATGCCCTGGAGACATTTTCTCCATTGTCTTAGGGATTATTTGGCTCCTCATTATTTATGCAAATGCCTGCAGCCCACTTAAATTTCTCCTCAGAAAATGGAATTTTCTTTTCTATCACATTGTCAGGCTGCAAATTTTCTGAACTTTTATGCTCTGCTTCCCTTATAAAACTGAATGCCTTTAACAGCACCCAAGTCAATTCTTGAATGCTTTGCTGCTTAGAAATTTCTTCCAGCAGATACCCTAAATAACCTCCCTCAAGTTCAAAGTTTCACAAATCTCTAGGGCAGAGGCAAAATGACGTGAGTCTCTTTGCTAAGACATAACAAGAGTCACCTTCACTTCAGTTCTCAACAAGTTCCTCATCTCCATGTGAGACCATCTCAGCCTGGATTTCATTGTCCATATCATTATCAGCATTTTGGGTAAAACCATTCAACAAGCCTCTAGGAAGTTCCAAACCTTCCCAAATTTTCCTGTCTTATTCTGAGCCTTCCAAACTCTTCCAACCTCTGCCTGTTACCCAGTTCCAAAGTCACTTTCACATTTTCAGATATCTTTTCAGCAGCGCCCCACTCTACTGGTACCAAATTACTATATTAGTCCATTTTCATGCTGCTGATATATCAAGACATACCTGAGACTGAACAATTTACAAAAGAAAGAGGTTTTTTGGACTTACAGTTCTACATGGTTGTGGAGGCTTCACAATCATGGTGGAAGGCGAGGAAAGGCAAGTTACATCTTAGGTGGATGGCAGCAGGCAAAGAGAGAGCTTGTGCAGAGAAAGTCTTGTTTTTACAACCGTCAGATCTCGTGACACCCATTCACTGTCACAAGTACAGCATGGGAAAGACCCCCCCGCATTATTCAGTCACCTCCCACTGGGTTCCTCCCACAACACATGGGAAAAATCGGAGCTACAAGATGAGAGTTGGGTGGGGAAATAGAGCCAAACCATATCATCTAATAAGAATTACAATATAATTAGCCAAAAAAAATTAGAATGGTCAATATTTCTTTAGGAAACTCAATTTGATATAATAATTAATCTGTATAAATTAGATAAAATGTACATATGCAAATACTTAAATTATCTAGATAATTTAAATTGCATTTTTCCAGTTTAGAATGATTAGTACATTTTCTAATACAGATCTGAAAACACAAAACAAATAAAACAAAACATGGCATGATTTTCTACTATAAACTATATTTTTCCATCCAGGATTCTGAATTTTTTTTTCCTTACTGTAACTACTGTCCAAATCACATTTTCTCAAATAGTTCCTGTGTTGGAATGTGAGATATATATTTGCATATTCATATATTTCAATAACTCAATCTTAGCTGACATTATAATCAAAAAAGTCTTTATGTTTAGTTGTTAGTCTTTATTATGTTAAGACTTTGATCTTCAAATTTTGTGCTGTAATCTAGACTATCCTCTAAAACATATTTTAATTTTGTTCTTAGTTTAATCTCTTTGGAAGCTTCTCATAATTCCAGCAGACGTCTGCACTGAAACTGCTCAAGCAAAAAGTATGCAGAGGATGTACATTATTTATTTATACAGATGACTTTTAAGTTGAGGCCAACATTAATTCGACTAGGTCACTGGTTTTGGAGAGCTGAAAGCCATGTAAATAGCTAGGGAGTCAAGGCTTTTTCATTAGCATTCTAAAGCCTACAGTTTCTGAATAATATATATTCACTTAAAAATTATTTTTTTGATGAAAATATATTTTTGTTATATATCTTCATTAGTCAGATTCTATCATGTTTAATAACATGACTTCATGTAATTATCTGATCAGTTATTTCTAGGTGCCAAAACTATTTATACACTAAATTTTGTTAAATACATAGATACCACTGTTTCATCTTCTGCTTTTTTTATAGATAAAGGGGAGCCTTTGCAAGAATTATAAATCAATTCAACAGTCTTCCTTCTTCTTGTCTGTTTGCAATTAGCAAATTCAAGCTAATTTCAGAAATGTTGGAAGAATTTTTTCTTTGATTTTTGCAGACTCACATCCTCAAAGTAAGACTTCTTATGGTTACTTAAGTTGTGGCTGCAGGTTTTAGACCCTTTAAGGGCTTTGCCTAGGGAGTCCTTTCTGTTACAGACAGTTGCAGGTTGCTTCTCTGATTTCCCTTCACCTTTCACCATATATTTAACTGTAGAATTAGTAATGCCTTCTGTTAAATAACATAATGTTCTCTTTGTGAAACCAGCTCACCTGCTTTGGTTATTTAAATTCTCTTCTTTTTCGGCATGTAAATATACTCATTTGTAAGTCTGTTTTTATTTTTCTTGCTCATACTGGCATTTTTGTGCTATGAGCACTGTGCTCTCGCAAACTACAGATTTTTTTTTAATTTCATTTTCTGCAGTTATTGGAACATATGCATTATGTAGGAGTCCCTGTTTTCATCTGGCCCAGGAAACATTTGAGGCAACAACATGATTTGTTTCAACTTTATTAGTGGACAAAAGCCAATGCATCCCTCACCAACTCATAGACTTGTGTGGCATTTTATGCGGCATTCAGGCTAAGCAAACGAAGCTTTGAATATGCTTAAGAAACATCCAATCTTGCTGTTTCAGATAGCAAGCCAAAATACAGGACTTAAACTTATTGGGAAGCTTCTCATATTCCTAGTCTTTCCCTTAGAAAATAGGGTGTTGACTTCAGACAAAGGGCAATAAAATTAATTAGTCAGATTAACTAATTAATTTTTTATTTTCTTTGCTTTACCACACTGAATCATAAATCTTAATTTGATCTTGCTGCCATGCTCTACATATTAATTTTATGTCTCATTTATTTATCTACATGCTTATTTTATTGCCAAAGGAGAAACCTAGTTTTGAAATCTTGTTTTAACTTCTAACTCAGAGAACCTGAGAATCCTGTATCTGATGAACTCTTCCAACTGTGCTATTGATAAAAGTGTCTGTCCCTATTCTGACAATCAAAATAACCTCCAGCAAACTTTCAAATATTTGTAACAATAAACAACTCTCTGGGTAAGGGGGAACAAAGTGCTTTACAAATTTAAGACATTCTCCTCACTGCATACTCTCCTAGAAGATGAGTTACTAAACTTTTCCATAAATAAAGTTGTCTTAATTTCTTTTTTATTTCTCTAATTTCTAAAACTAGAAATAGACAAGTCGGATACAGATCTAACCTTGAGTTCTCTATACCGTAAACACAGTTATAATAAAATTACACTGGATTGTTATGCAGATACACACACATATTGATGTGTTTTGCCTTTCATTTTTAGTTTGAAATCAATTCTACTTTAGTGTCAATACATTCTCAGTAAAAGGGATATCCTACTGTGATTTCAGTATAAAAAAGCCTGATTGAAGTGTCAATGATTCAGCTGTGCTTTGTATTACAAAGTTAAACATGCTCTTTCATTTAAACAAAATGGTTGAGTATAGATGTGGGTGTCAGGACAATAGGGAACAGTGGAACAATTTAAGTACAGGCCCTGATGCATTAAAAAATAAAGAAGAATTTATTAACTTGACCCTGGAAATGACTGGAGCTGTACCTTAAACTCTTAACACTTCGAGAACAAGGTCTTCATAACCAGCACAACTTTCTGAACTTCTACTATGTTTTATTTTCTTGGATGTTATTACAGATGATGTGATATCATTTGAATAAATTGTGTAAACATTTGTGAAAAGGGGTTACTAAATTTAGAAAAAGCCCAGAGATTTTCTTATTTATGTATTTTGAATAATTTTCAAAAGTAGGCACGTGTGGGGAGGCATGTATGGGGAGAATAGATTCCAAGTAGAAGGACAGCAATCTTGAAAATAAACTGCGGTATCTTGGCAAAGTACAGATAGCTGCATGGAGATTCTTACTGTGGCCATTGGTTTTGAAATGACCAATAGTAAAATAATTTGGAGTTTGCAGTAGGAATTGAGACCACATGCTTCTTTAAAAGAATTATATATTATATATATGTGTGTGTGTGTGTGTGTTTGTGTGTGTGTGCATGTGTGAATAGATGTATGAATACACACTGGTAGTGGGAATCGGGGTACACTTTCTTCTCTTGATGGGGTTCATGGGGTTCAGGGCATGCTACCCTAAAATATGGCACCTTAGCCTTTGAGAAAAGAGTGGAATAGAAAGGTCTCTCTGAAATTCTCCCACCTTTCTTCCATGAAGCAGGCTATAATGTAATTATCTGACCTTCTTCTAACGTAGGTCATAAGATCTTCATTCCAGAGAGACTCTCCCTATAGAAAGGATCCAAAGTCACCAAGATGCCAGGGAGAATCTGAACAAATAGGCCTTGCTAAGTTGTTAAGTTTCCTCAAGTTTATCACCTTTAGGTCATAGCCCCTTTTGTCTAATACTTCCCTGCCACTGCCACTTTTCATCAAACCTAAGCATAAAAGCACACAGATTTCCTTGTTTCTTTGAGTATTCATTTCTGAAGTCTCCTGTGTCATATAAAACTTTTATTAGATAAATTTGTATGCTTTTCTATTGTTATCTGTGCTTTGTTATATGTTTTCACCGTGAATCTTGTAATTGATGAGGAAAGAAATCCCTTTCCTCCTACAAGCTCATGATTGAGAGTTAGAAAGCAAAAGTGTAATTTCACCTCTGCAAATAATTACTGGCTCAACCTTTGTTAAACTTTTAAATTTGGCCAGGCACAGTGGCTAAAGCCTGTAATCCCAACAATTTAGGAAGACAAAGTGGGTGAATCACTTGAGTCCAGGAGTTTGAGACTAGCTTGGGCAACATGGCGGAATCCTGTCTCTACAGAAAATTTTTAAAAAAAATTAGCTGGGTATGGGTGTGCATGCCTATGGTCCTAGCTACTAGGGCTACTAGGGAGGCTGAGGCAGGAGGATTGCTTGAGCCCAGGTTGTCAAGGCTGCACTGAACAGTGATCACAACACTGCACTTCAGCCTGGGCAACATCGTGTCTTTAAAAAAAAAAAAAAAAAAAGGAATAAAAGAAAAAAAAAACACTTAAATTTGTTTGTGCCATCATCTTTGAAAGTATTGCACTGGGACATATCCATTACTCTACTCAAAGCTTCTACCCTCTTCTGATTAAAAATCAACTTTCTAGGCTTAAGGTCTCTTGTGTGTAAAATGGGATAACAATAGCTGTATTTTCACAAAGACTCTCCTCAACCAAACTTTGTTCAAGTTCTTTTGAGCCTTCTTTTTCTCTAGGTCTCATTTTTGGTCCCTGTCTTTGGCCTGCCTAGTCTCATTATAGTGATTATCTTTCAAGGTCAATTTAGCAAGCATCCTCCTGTTGAGGCACAGAAAATGATAACCCAAAGTATGGTGCTTTGGCATGCTGAACTTTAAACTAAAGAACATTGAAAGTTCTCAGAAACATCCTCAGAAACAAGGTATGTCTGACCTTCTCCTGCCCTTAACTCTCATTTCCTCCTGAAGTAAGTAATATAAACCAGAATTTGTCATTCCCAAGTCAGGTCATAGAAACTAGAACCTCTTTTCCCCAAAGCAAGCCATAAGTTTAGGAATATTATCCTCACCTTCACCCACTTTTTGGCCTAGGAGCTGGCCGTAAAGAGATTATCTGACCTGTTCTTGTTTGAGAGTAGGTCTTAAGGCCTTCATTCCAGAGAGGTTCTACACCCAGGAGGAAGAAATGCTACAACACAGAGGCAAAGAAGATTCTGAACAGTTAGATATTGCTGGGTTTCCACATTAAGTCTATTACTGTTAGATCTTTCCATTTTTGTCCAATCACATTTTCACATGGTTGTCTCCTCCATCAAATCTAAGCCTAAAAATGGACAGCCCTCCTTTGGGTCTTCATTCTGAAACCCTCCATGTCACATAAAACTTTAAAATAACTAAATGTTTTATTTTTTCTCTTGTTAACCTGTGTTTTGTCACAGAAGTTTCAGTGTGACCTTTATGATGGGCACCTTTCTGACCTTATTCTCCTACCCTTGGCATCTGATCATCCTCAATATCTGATCTAAATCCTCATCCCTACTTTTATTGTACAATTTTTGGCCTACCTTCGGGAAAAATCACGTTAGGCCCATGTTGCAAGAAACCCTCTAGCCTTGATGTCTTCTCTAAGTAATTTTTCATCCACTGAACTCTTCATTCTACTCACTAGCTATAAGTACCCAGTTGTCTTTGCCATATTTGGAGTTGAGCCTGATGTCTCTCCATTATTATAACAGTCTTAACACCATTTATAGTGGCCCAGAATACAGTCTTCCTTACTGCTTTAACAGTATCAGGATTTTTTAAAAATATTATCAGTAAAAATATGTACATAAAACACTGAGCATAGCACCAGGATAATGGAAATGCATAATGTATTTTAGCTCCTATGTCATTATTATCACCATCACTAATGTTTTTGTTATCGTCATCATCATAATCTTCTTTGGGTGTAAGTGTTAAGAATAATGGCTTTTTTCTTTATAATTTTTGATGTGTATTTCAGAATTTTATATACTGATTATTAATTTTATGTTTTAAAAATGAAAAATAACATGTAGGTTCATGAAAAAGGTACTTTTTTTTATCTAATTGAAACATAAAGTTGTCAGAATTCATTAGAATAGATCAGATTATACTTCCCTCCTGTGCTTTAAGACAGTCATTTATTAAACCCCTAAGTAGAGACAAATCGTAGTTAAGATTACAGGTAAGATTCTGTGGCAACAGTTTGTGAAGTAGAACCTTTAGAGAAGGGACAAAAAAAAATAGTATATTTTGATCCTTCCTCTGCAAAAGTTTGACAAGCAATACCTGTCTGCTGGCAAGGGCACTGGCTTTTATACTATACATTTCATGATCTGAGACCTCTTAAAACATGTTGGATACTACCACTGAATAAACAGGTAATTGGGATCCATATTTTCTCACCTAACTAGGCGGCATTTCTTTTAAAATGTGCCCTGCATATCAAAAGATGTCATAGATGTACGGCTTGGAAAGTCATGTTTGGCTGTTAAAGAGGGACAGCAAGAACCTGCTTATTACTGAACCCTCAGTTCTCATACTTTCTGGCACCTGCTTATTAAATTGAAATCACTGTCCAACTGTTTCATGGAGTCGGGCTCATAGTCAATATCTGCATGATCCTAGTGTTCATAGCTTGAAACAGTGGATTGTTTTATTTATTTCAATATTTGAAGAAATTGAGAATTTCCTTATTGGCCTCTATCTGATTTCTAGTGTCCAGAGAAGCTTTACTTCATGTATATCTAATCGACACACACTCACTTAATGCATTACATTTTTTATATCTGTAATGGAATTGAAATCTTAGACTAATTCCTTACCACATTTGCATTTTCTTTCCAGCAGCTGCGCTATCAAGAACATGTTTAAAACTATTTTTAAGTAATTAACCCGTTTGTTATAAAAATTAACCTGAAAAACTTATTTAAACTAAAAGAAAAGGGAAAATTTTACATAATTGTATGAACAAGAGATAACATCATTAAATTTTTTATTTTTGTTTTTCTAGACTTATGCAATACAAATATATATATATGCCTTATCTTTATGAAATGGGGACCTACTTTACATACTGTTTTGTAATTTGTTTTTCTCCCTGCAAAATTTGTCATGAATATTCATTCAGGTTAATAAGTGGAAGTTCCTTTTCAAACATTGCCTTCATTCCTTCATATGCTTGAAGCATACTTTTAAAAAAGCACATCCTGGCTGGGCATGGTGGCTCGCACCTGTAATCTCAGCTCTTTGGGAGGTCAAGGCAGGAGGATCTCTCGAGCCCAAGAGCCTGGACAACATAGCGAGAACCTGTCTCTATAAACAATTTAAAAAATTTGCCTGGCATGATGGTGAACACCTGTAGTCCCAGCTGCTTGGGAGGCTAAGATGGGAGGATGCTTTGAGCCCAGGAGGACGAGGCTTCAGGGAGCCCTGATTATGCCACTGCACTAGAGCCCAGGTGATAGAGTGAGGCCCTGTCTTAAAATTTATTTAAAAAAATCACATCCTACACTTGGATATTTGGATTTTTTCAGTATTTTAGTAATAAAAACAACTTACTGTGAATATCCTTTTCATATATATTTATTCATTTGTCCCATTATATCCATAGAATACATCCTCAAAAAAATATGACTCAAAGTTAACATATAGTCTTTAAAAAATGACCATAAGTTTTCCAATTATAATCTTCTCTTTTGTTTAATAAATAAGTTTTTTTTTATTTGCTTGTTGACACTTCCCCATCTCTCCTTCCCTCCACCCACATGCTACTCCTGGTTTTCTCTCTAGGTTTTGAATTTGTGGTATTTTTCTTTTTTCTCTATTTAGGACTTTTATGTTTCTTACTGTCGAATTTGTAAACAACAGATCAAAGATGAAAACTAAAATAAGTAACAGACCAATATTGCTTAAATGCAAACATGTAATGTTACATTTCAGAAAAATAAAACTTGCAATGATGTATAAAAATAATCTGTAAATTTAAAAACTATATGTCTATGTCTATGGAATTGTGTATATATACACACACACATACACATATATCTATGTCTATGGAATATACATATATATGTCTATGGAATTGTAGAGACAAATACTAAAAATAATAGATAATTCCTCTATATTTAACTCTTCTATTTTCTTGATCTCACATTGAAACTTATGAAAAGCACTCAATCACACTCTGTTCTACATTTGACTCCTTGGGAAGTATATTACATTAACATCTACTGTTGCCAAGGGATTTCTATATAAAATACTTTTAAAACTTTATGCACAGTAAATAGACTAAGAAACCTTTTCACCACTTAGAAAAGTGAATGTACAAAAGTGACTTACCAATCTGTTTGAAATTAGGTCACTTTATGCTGATAGTTTATAGATTGAAAGTTAATACTAATAATAAAGAAAGTAGAAGTAAAGATTTGTGGATCTTGGACAGATTAAATAAAAGATTCACATTTCAGAGTACAGGTGGGTGATTGCAACAAAGTGATCTGACATGTGTCACTCTTTAATCGAGCTATTGAGAAGATTCCAGAGAAATTATGTAATCAAAAGCAGAGTTCTCTTAAAATGAATGACATTTGTTTAATATATAAGGATCATTCAACTTTGTTACTTCTTATATTTGAAAATCCTTCTTTTGTACTCCCAAAGTCCACACATGTTAAATAAGATGAAAATGTGCCAGAATTTTCCACATCACCAGGATTCATTTTCACTGCACTTAGTATATTCGGCTGCTAAAACCTTTTGTCATATTGGGATTTTACTGATCGTTTTAAATACCTTTTTTCCTCTTAACTTTTAAGCCACATGTCTGTTATTCATTCTTGCGTCCCTTGCACCTAGCTCAGTGGTTTGTGTATTAAAAAATGTTCAGATTAAGTTCTGGTTTGTCATCCCAAAAGTTTACTGAGGTAGCTTCTATATTGAGTCTACAAATCACCTAGATGAAGCCAATAGAGAAATTGTACAGGGAAGGTTTTAGACACAATAGGAATGCTTTTTAAATTGTCAATTCATTAATGTAGTGTAGGAGTCATCTTGACAATTAAAAAACTGTGGTTTTACCTTTTCAGGGGGCTTATAGCATTAAAATTTGTTTATAAAACAAAGTGACCTTCAGAAACCAGAATTCAGTGTAGATTGCTCAGCGTCACATTTACATTTCCTATTTTACACATTGCATTTGTTTCTTCTTTTAATTTTAATTTACTTTTTTAACTTTTATTTCAAGTTCAGTGGGAAATGTGCAGGTTTGTTACATAGGTAAACTTGTGTGATGGGAGTTTGTTGTACAGAGTATTTCATCACCCAGTTATTAAGCATAGTACTCATTAGTTTATTTTCCTTATCCTCTCCTTCCTCCCACCCTTCACCCTCCAATAGGCCTCAGTGTCTGTTGTTCCCCTCTCTATGTCCATGTGTTCTCATCATTTAGCTCCCACTTGTAAGTGAGAACATGTGGTATTTCATTTTCTGTTCCTTCATTTGTTTTTGTTGATGTAATTGTGGGGTAACTCTGGATGGGCATTGGTGGATCCACATTTTCCAAGCCTCTGTGTAATCATGGTATTATTATGGTTAACAATTGTTATTAGATCATAATGAGTAAACTCCTATAATATACAAATTTGTTTTTCTGACCTCTGTTTATTACTTCCCACAATATAATGGTTCCCTGAATAGTTGCAGTAACTGATGAGCTAGGCTGTGATATTGCAGAAATTTGTGACTAAATAGAGGTAATCCCTGACTCTAGACTTCCTGTGGCATGTCTTATTTTCACTGTTTACTCTTATTGAAAAGAAAGTATAGGGAATAAAAGTAATAAACATTGATTAATTTTTAAATTTTCAAGTATATATTTCTGACATGAATCATTATTACTATACTTGTAACTCTTAACAGGAATCAGAGCAGTTATTGAAAACACATTTTATAAAGATACTTTTGATATCTTAAATGATTATTGCTGAAGCTAATTTAGCTTGAAAGAGATAAATTTTGTGACAATCTAATATACTTATAGTCTTTGCCCCCCTGTCATTCTCTCAGCATGTGACCTGCTGTTGATTATAATTTAGAGGTAAGTTTTCTGCTGTCACATAGACTGAACTAGAATGACATTTCATTTTCTTAAATATGTATACCCTGGAGATGGTTGGTTAATTATAATGTGAAAGCTGAAGCAGGAGGTGAAATCATGGGACACATGAAAATCAAACACTATTATGTGCCCACAATTTCAAAAGGTTCATTTGTCTTTCCGGAAAACCATGGGAATTTTGGTAGGGATAGGAATACAGCAGGCTTGTCTAGAGATGATCGTCCGGCCCAGAAAAACTGGATAGTGTTAAATTACCAAGACTGTCTTTTTATACTCCATGAAAAATAATTTTAACAAGCGATTGTATCTGGGAAAGCAATGAGGGGGCATGTTTTAGGAGGAAAACAAAGAGATGTAACCTGATTCCATACTTTTTTATTCCTTGATAAAAATAAAGGTAATATGACAAAACTTTTAAAAAATTCTTGATGTTGGATAAATATTATGAACGTTATTCTCTGTGCTTCCAGGTATACTTGAATTTAGAAATTATAAAATTAAATTAAAACAATAAGTGTTAGTAAATGGAAAAGTGAAGGTAATTCTTTAAAAATATCAACTTAAAATTTCAAAAAGGAAAAATCTTTTTATATAACTAAAGTATCAGGAAATATGACCTGGTAAATGGGTAAATAAAATTTGTATTAATTTAGTGAAGTATAGTAGGTAATAATCCTCATAGAATTTTGAGTGCTATACAAATAGCAGATTACTTTTGTATAAGGGGAGTAAAATTTAGTAAACATGAAAAACTAATCTGCATAGAATTATTAACTCCAAGCTATCACTTAAGACTTCAGTCTAAAAGATAAAAGTTTAGAATTTGACTTGATCAAGAATATGACTAAATTATCAATCACTGGCATGTGTCATATTGAAAAGAACATATAAAATATTATCTCAAACTTTAGAACTATCTTCGTGCTTTGCCATCTGGAAAAAAAAATGTTTACAGCTTTAATTGTCACAGTGTGAGACAGCTAGAATTGAAACAGAAAAAGTCTAAAGAAAGGTTGTAAACACAATGCAGAAAAAGAGAATAGGGAGAGATATTGTGTGAGACTTCTTTGGCTATGAAAAGCAAACTCTGGGAGAAGAAGTGAGATTAATATGAAGAAACATATGGACACTATACATAGGGCAGATATCCAAGCTTGGTATAGTATTTGACTGTGCATCCCTTGATAGCCATGAGAGGTTAAGTTGCCTCACATAAAACTGATAATATCTCCTTAGTGTAGATGAGATAAAAATACAAACGGACTAAAATAAATTAGGCAAAATTCATTAGTCATTAATTCAAATGGGAAACTAAGGGAAATGTAGCTGTTCAGAGTAAGAAAACTATTATTCTCTCCTGTCTTACCTACCATGTGACAAAAACTCTCTACTTGATCAAATTTTAGACAGACTCCTTTGAGCCTTCTTTGCAACTAAGCCTTTTCCTTGAGCTCTTTGTTTGACCTCCTTAGTTCAGTTGCAGCAAGAATTCTGCTAAGTCAGGTTAGCAAGAATACCCCTACCCTTGATATCTGATGCCCCCCGCCTCCTTCAGCAGGAATCCTAATTGGTTAGCAAGAACACCCCTACCCCGATGACCCCCTCTTGGTAATTTTCCATCCACTGACACTCTTCCACTTCTTCTTAGCTATGATAGGGTTCAGGACATGCTACCCCAAAATACTGAACCTTGGCATTTTGAGAAAAAAAGCAGAAGCAGAAGTTCCCTCTCACCTTTCCCTTTGTCCTTCTCCCCTAAAGCAGGTCATAAAATCCTCATTGAAGTGTTGCCCTCCTTATCCCAGGAGGAAAGAAACACCCTTATCTGTGAAGGCACAGGGACCCAGAGGAAAATCTGAACAAACAGGCTTTGCTAAATTTCCCCCAGTTTATTACCATTAGGTCATATCCTTTTGTCCTCCAATCATGTTTCTCTATGACTATCCACTTTTCATCGAACATAAGCATAAAAATACACAAGTTTACCTGTTTCTTTGGCCCTTTATTTATAAAGACTCCTTTGTCACGTAAAACTTATATTAAGTAAATTTGTATGCTTTTCTCTTGTTAATCTGTCCTTTGTTATAGGGGCCTCCACAATAAACCTTATGATAGGTTAAAAAAAAAAAAAACCCTTTCCTCTCCTACAGCTATAAATCTCCAGCTGTTTTTACTGTATTGAGAGTTGAGTTGATATCTCTACTCTATTGCAATAGTCTTGACATCTTTTTTTTTTCCTTTTTTTTGAGACAGAGTCTTGCTCTGTTGCCTAGGCTGGAGTGCAGTGGCTCTCAACTCACTGCAACCTCCACCTCCAAGGTTCAAGCAATTCTCGTGCCTCAGCCTCCTGAGTAGTTGGGATTACAGACACATGGTGGCACACCCCACTATTTCGTTCTTTTTTTTAAGTAGAGGGGCGGTTTCACCATATTGGTCAGGCTGGTCTCAAAATCCTGGCCTCAAGTGATTTGCTGGACTCGGCCTTCCAAAGTGCTGGGATTACAGGCATGAGCCACCGCACTAGGCCAGTAGTCTTGACATCTACTGCAATAGTCCTATATAAAATTTTTCTACCAATTGAAAAAAATCTCAGAATTTTTTTTTCTTTAACATACATCTGTTTTTTTTTTCTTCTGCCAAATATAGAATGCTTAGGTCAAACCCATCATAGGAATTCTCATACTCTTTGAAACATGGTATGGAAATAAATGAAATACGTCCATTCAATATTTGTGTCCTGAGTGGCATATCTGTGAAAGGTCCCATGTGTACTCATCACTTGGGAATACAAACACCTTCAAGCTTGTGGACATAAGAAAATAATACACAAAAAAATAAAAAGCATGAAGAAGAGATCACATAGACTCAATATCAGTAAAGATTTTATGAAGAATTGGGAGAATGTATAGGATAACAAAAGGGAGAGGTAGAGTAGATTTCGCACAAAAAATAAAATTGCAGTGATTCAAAACTGAGATATGTGAGTAGTAGAATTTAACTAAAATATAGAATTAGTGGGTGTTGGCGATGGCACATAAGATCAAAAAGGTACAGCATGCCTTTGCAATAGAATACACTGGATGACTACATGAGGAATATACCTCTGTCTCAGAGAAGAGTGGATTTGAATATAATAGATAAGATGTAAATCTCTGTCAGTTACCGAAACATTCCAGAATTTCATCTTTGTGCATCTCAGTTTCCTCATTCATAGCAAAACCAAGTATTTTCAAAGTTTATTTCTGTGGTAAAACAATATGGTAATGATTGTGAGGTGCTTTGTAAATTGCAAAACATTATTATGCAACTGTAAAGGATTATTACTTCTTAATTCACCAGGGAGCTCTTGAAGAATTTTGAGATGCTAAAGAGTATAATCTTAACCTTATTTTAGAAATCCAAGTTATCTCCCTCTAACTTCGTCCATTTATTGGTCAAAGTTAGAGGGAGATAGCACGGGAATAAACAAGTCTATTATGTTGGTTCAAATGAAAGATAAGGAGATTTGAAACACAGCTACATGCAGCATGGAGACAGATTGTATTGAATGTAAGCAACTGATTAGAAATGAAACCAAAAGGAGAGAAAAAAAAAATGACTCCAGGTTCCAACTTTGATGAGAATGTTGTCATTAACAGAGAGAGAAACCCATGAGAGAAAGGATTTAGAAGAAAGATAATGAGTTTGACTTTGAAAGTACAGATCTAAGGATGTCACTGAGTTACATAGGTAAAAATGCCCAACAGATACTTGAAAATAAAGCCCAGGAGAGGACTCTGGGATATAGATTTGAGAGTCATTTATTAGGCATTTCTGGAAAGATGAATAATAATGTTTTGCAATTTACAAAGCACCTCACAACCATTATCATATTGTTTTACCACAGAAATAAACTTTGAAAATATTTGGTTTTGCTATGAATGAGGAAACAGATGCACAAAGATGAAATTCTGGAAAGGTAAAATTCAAATGATTAATCATTTATTAGTATCAGTTGACACAATAGAAATGAATATAGACAGTTGAAGGATGATGAGAAGAGGGCCTCAATGAAGTGTGTGCAGTGAAGAGTTTGGCCTCACCCAAATATAAGTCTGGAGTTTGTCCTCAGCTGCTAGATGGCAGCCTCTAAACACTTAGAATTTTCAGAGTTATGGAAATATCTTCATTATCTAAGGTGGACCCCTGAAACTATACCTATTTTATGCTAATAAGATGATTCTTGGTGAGGATTATCACACTCAGTAGTCTTAGAGTGGGGCCTGGCCACACCATAAAGACCAACCATATAGTTTAGGATAGCAACTATGAACCACATTATATCATCTTAATCTAAAAGTTGGTGGGGAGCTGCAGATGGAGTTCAAATATGTAGGTAATTAATTAATTAATCATGCCTAAATATGAAGCCTCAATAAACTCTCTGGACAGCTCAGCTCAGCTCAGCCGAGCTTCTCTGGTTAGCAGTCCTCCATGTGTATGGTCACATATTGATGCTGGAAAACAACAGAAGCTTTGCCTTTGGAACCCTCCCAGACTCTGACTTTGGTGTCTCTTCCTTTGGCTGGTTCTAATTTGTAATCTTTCTTTGTAATAAGCATGACTGTGAGCATAATAGCTTTCAATGAGTTCTGTGAGTCTCCCTAGTGAATTGTCAAACTTGAGAGTGGTTTTGGGAAATCCCTGTACTTACAGTTGGGATCATAAGTCTTGGGAAACTTGTCTGTCCAGAGGACACTGCCCTAAAGCACTCAGTTTGGCCTACTTGGAATAGAGTTTTTTGAGCAAAGTAACTAGTAAAAGAGGAAGGAAGATAACATTTAGGTAAGAAAACATCAAGGAGAAGGCCAACCAAACTCATATATAAAAGGTATGAAAAGGTTTGTTACTAGTTTAAGTATGACAGAGAAGGAAAGTTTAAGGAATAAAAAGAAGAACAAAGTGAAGGAGAAGAATATAGCTTTTGAATTTAGCAGAGTAAAGATGGTTTCTGACTTACAATGACTTGCCTTACAATTTTTTGACTTTACAATGGTACAAAAGTGATATGTATTCAGTAGAAACTACTACAAGTGATTCATACAACCATTTTGTTTTCACTTTCAGTAGAGTGTCCAATAAAATACATGAGATATTCAACACTTTATTATAACATAGGCCTTGTGATAGATAATTTTGCCCAACTATAGGTTACTATAAGTGTGCTAAGCACACTTAAGGTAGGCTAGACTAAGTCCAGACATTTGGTAGGTTAGGTGTTCTCTTTTCTCTGCAACCTCAACGATGTCTGTTATTTCTTGATCTTTTAATAACAGCCACTCTGTCTGGTCTGAGATAGTATCTCATTGTGGTTTTGATTCACATTTCTCTAATGATTAGTGATGTTGAGCATTTTTTCATATGTACAAGGGCTACAGAATCAGTCTTACCCCAAACCTCAGTGTCAGGCAATTTACCCATGTAACAAACTTACACGTGTACCCCTGAATCTAAAATAAGAGTTAAAATAATTTTTAAAAAGAATAATAGTAGTCAAGAATGCCTCCAGGTTACCTCCACCTTCACTCTATTCCCAAACACTTAACTCTGTTTTCAGCATAATTTCAGAGCATTCTTACAAGACTTTGTGGGAATTACTTAGCAGTTACTCAAAGACCACTCAGAAGACATTTGCTGATGAAAATGAGGTTTGTCTTCCAAATATCACCACTTTAATGAGAAGTATAATTGTTTAAAGGCCAGAAGAACAGGGTTCTGGTATTCATTTTGGGATAACTGGGAGTTGAATAAAAGTAAAGCAAAATGTTGATTTACTCTTTATCTTTCTTACTCTCTGACAGATGAAAATGCCAGAGGATGTAGTGAATTGTATTAACCAAAAATAAAACCAATTCCTTCTCGAGTTTAATTCCAGAATATAATGTCATCCTTCCCTGAACACCACTTTTCTCAAGGAGCAGAAATGCTCAACTGTGTTACAGTGGAACTTCATCCAAGATCATCTTCTATTAAGCTTTACAAATTGCTTCAAAAAGCAGTGGGTAACCATGCTAGTTGTGTGTAAAATATTTAAAATAACTTATCTTCGAGTGTTGTTGGGGCTGCAGATTTGGAATTTGGCAGATCGTCTGTGTTTAGTGCTGAGCTATTTTGGGATTTCTTCAAACTTGAGCAATGTAAGGAAAATGTCACTACTATTATTTGAGTGAAAGTTTTGGAAATGTGCTGATAGGATGCAGTTTTGTAAGGCCTTTTAAAAAATGATATGCAAAAAAGTTTTCATTGTAAAAAAACCCTAACCTTCCTTCTTCATCTTGTTCATTTCTCTGTCTAATAGGAATTGGAGGCTTCTAAAGGCAGTTTCATTTAAATGCTTCTAGCTGGCTTTGCCTTTTATAAGAGGGGATGCTTAGTGGGTCAGCAGTAGAGGGAATGGATTAAGATTACGTCAGTTTGTTGACTAAGTGAACAGATAAATGTATGTAGAAAGCTTAAAAGCACTTTTTCAGCTGAAAAGTTGTTTGTATTTTAGTACAAGTACAGTTAAATGCTTCTTCTGTTACCCTCTGTGGCTGAAGATACATCTATATGTTCACTTCTCCGACTCATCTATTATCTTTGTCATCACACAAAACTCTTTCATATAAATCAACATTATGTTGGCTGGCCGAGGTGGCTCACACTTATAATTACAGCACTTTGGGAGGCCAACACAAGAGGATTGCTTGAGGCTAGGAGTTTGAGACCAGCCTAGGCAACATAGCAAGATGCCATCTCTATAAAAAATTAAAACAATTAGCCAGGTGTTGTGTGTGCCTGTAGTCCCAGCTACTCAGGAAGCTGAGGTGAGAGAATTCCTTCTGCCCATGAGTTTGAGGCTACAGTGAGCTATGATAGTGCTACTGCCCTCCAGCCTGGGTGACAAAGTGACACTCTGTTTCTAAAAATTAAATAAATAAAAAGTAAATTAATTTAAAAAGTAAATAAATATTATGTTACAGATTTCTTCAGATGGGCAAAACAATTGTAAACCATTCAGCAAATCACAAGTTGGAAAAACTGTGTCAGTGCTTTCACTGGAAATTAAATATGTCACTCAATAATAAAGAGTGTGCTTCAGAATTGTCAAGTCTTTCTGTTCTGCTCCCTAGGAAAGTTTAGGCACACACATTTCTCCATAGCCATCAGTATACAGTACTAGGAGTCCCTCTACTTCTTCATGCACAGGCTTTTTTAGTTTCTTCTACCAGGCTGCATGCAAATGAAGAAGGCATATAGTCTCCTTTGCTGGTGGCAAATCCCAGGATATATCTACCAGCATCTAGATTGGAAGAGTTAACCTGTATTGTGTTAGGCGTCCTTTAATTAAGGAAACACAACTGAAAGCTTGTCAAAAGATAATCCTTTGAGTTACAGCAAGTAAGTTGTGATGCCTTGAAATGTGTGTATAGTGGATAATTTGCTGAGATAAATTACTAGTTTGCTTTGCATTTGATCATCAATCATTGGTTGCCATACAAAAATGCCACTATTATCACAGAATCCTTTAGACTATTAATTTAATTATAAGAATAATAATTATAGGTAAAGTCAGGGGTAATAAATTAGAAGTAATTTATTAAATTTATTGAAAGATTTGTCAAAGTTACTTCTGATAGTAACAGAATATTTCTTGGTGATTCTTTCAGAAATAAGCTTCAAATGAAATAGGCTTTCGATGTGACAGTGTTTACAGGAAACATTGTGAGTATTTTATCTTATTGCAAAATTGCTTGCTCAAGGTATTACATGTTTCATATGCAGATTTATTCTGTGTCCTCATAATTAGCTGCATATCTCCATTACTCCTTCTCATCCTGTCGCCACAAAAAAAGTCTGGAAATTCTTGATAGTAGAAAATTAAAATAAAATAATTCCTGTTTAATGTTCCATTTTCCTTCTCTTATATTTTTTATACTTGTTCTCTTATACTTTTGAGTCTTTCTTTGATAGTAGAGTCCAGGATAACTTTTGTATAGGTGTAAAGGTATTTTGGTTTTAACTTTAATTAAAGCTGAGTGAAATGCACAAATAGTAATGTAGCTTGGAAATGAAACATGACTTCAAAATCAGTAAAACCTACGTATTTTTGTTGAAGTCCTGAAGGATATTTTTTATTTGATTTTTACAAAGCCAGTGAAACGTGCAAAATATTAGGTATTCATTGAGCACCTAATAAGTTTGTCAGGCAGCGTGCAGGCAATGTAATTATAGGAATGCAATGAAAAACAGAACTCATTCCCTTTTAGGACTTTTTTTCCCACATTTGAGACATTTGCAAAATACGATGCTATTATTAGAATGAAGGGTATTATTTTAAGAAGAAAAGCTCTGAATAAGGAAGATCATAATGTACCTGCAGTAAGTTGATATACTTGAAGTTATTGATAGGCTGGCAGCTAACAAAAGAAATAATGGAAAATCATTGGAAAATATTAGTTCAATGGTCAAAATCAAATAGAGTATGACTCAAAAGAAAGAAAAACTGAATAATATGTTCCATTATGGTTTAAATTTCCAAACAATAATACCTCATATGATTTTCAGATGAGCCAAAGGAAGAAGTAATGATATTATCTGTAGTTATATAAAAGGATGAAAAGAGACTAGTGTAGATTGGAAAGTCTCTCCTGTCTAGCATCAGGCCAGGTATATATGTGAGTCTATCTAGGTGGGGAATTAAAGAAATTCATGAGTGACTTACGGTCATCATTTTATAATTTGAAATTCAATTTAAGACCAATCTAAAGCTATCTTAGAATATGAGCAGAAAATCGTAGCACATTTTTCCTACCAGTTAGCTAGTAGGTGAACTTTTCACCATTTTTTTAAACACTTTCAGATGCTCAAACTTTAGGTTTATGTGTAAGTTTATAACATCTTCCTAGGCATATAAAATAGGATGTTTATGCCTAAATAGAATTTTTCTGCCTGTATTTTGCATATAGGGCATCCATTTACATAAACAAATTTATATTTTGAGGAAACACACATGGTGAGTTCAATTTAGGTGTGAATAAATAGAAAATATTTCAAATATCATGTCTCGTTGAAATATTTGAACCAAATCTTTCTGGACATAGTGCACTCCCATCTCTCAACTTGTTAAATGATGTGAATCAATTTTAGGTTTTATGAATCTTCCTGAATTTTTGTTCATGAATTGTTTAATTAATACATTGTACCAGTGCCTCTTGTAAGGTGGGACTGAACTTGAGACTATTTGAAAACAAAGTGATGCTATTTGATATTGTTAGCTGAAGAACATGACCTATAGTTAAATATCTTGTCCCAAAGGATGAGAATATCTACTTTAAAGAGAAGATAGAATTAAAAAAAAAAGAAATCAGAGTATTAGATCTGTAAGAAACTTTAGCTTTGACTTTGTTTAGTCCTTTAGCTTCACACAGTTGATGCCTACTCCAGACCATTTTCCAACACATTTCTTTCATCTTGTCTTCTCCATGGAAGCCAGATACATCAAATAAAAGTTTCTGTTATAATGAAAAAAAAAAACTATGTAACAATTTACCAAATGTGATGGGGGGATTAATGCACCTGAGATGAGTACATGGTCAACAAGACAGAAATGAGGACATTTTTCAGCATCAAGAGTCCTAAAATGATTACTTCTATGGAAACACAATTGATAAGTTTCTGTGTCAAGATCAAATCCCTCCTCAAAGATCTTGTATGTGTAAGTTCAATAATTGCAATAACAAGAATTTTGGCTTTCCCATAGTCCTCTTTTTTAAATTTTATTTTTAAAGGTTTATGATATTGAAGAAGATTGCATTAGGTAAGTTGTATATAATGAGCCTAAGATAAGAAATAGATGAGATTTTAGCCTTTGATGGTAGGTACTCTATTTGTGGGTGTGTATGTCTGCGTATGTGTATATCATCTACATATAGTGATATTATTTTAATATCATTAGATTACTTAGACTGTAAAATATTTCTGAAACATTGTTCTAGATAGAAATTCAATTTTACTTGGCTATATGATGCTATCCTTAGGTATTTATACTAGTTCTTATATTTTCAGAAAGGGCCATCTTGGTTTTTTTTAAGCATTTTGCTTTAAAATTTTCTTTTTCTTTTCATAGTCACCATTATTGGTTTGGCAATTTTTTCTTAGGTTGTATAATATCAGGCTTGAAATAATACAATACTCTTAACCTGAGTTCAATAAATTATGAAAATGTTGACGTCTTCACTGCCTAAAACACCCCAAATTCCATAAAATATGAGCTACTTATATTTCCTTTTGTCAAATCAAATTTTTGTTCCTAGCTTAAACTGCTTAGTTATCTACTAATCTTTACCTATCTGTAGCAAGCAGATATATCCCCAAGAGGACTTCATCTTTGCAGATTTTATGTTCTAGCCAACACCCATTCTCCATTTGACATTCCACTTACCTCAGGTTCCCTGACTATCACATGTGGTGAATGAATTAATTTTTATTTTAATAGAAACACTAGTTTTTTTATGTTTGTGGAAAAGGGTTTTATTAACCAACCAACCACATTACCAGCTCTGGGGACCTCAAGATGTATTAGTTTCCTTCTCATTCTCAAGTACAGGTAGAAGAATTTTCTCTTTTCCTTGGGTATACAGGTTTCCTGGAAGTATCATGAAGAGGTATATCTAAATTGAATAAGTCAGAAAAGAACTAAGCACTCAGGTATGCCTCTTGCAAGACATTGAACTAAAAGAATCAGGCTGCTGATCAAATGAAGCTAGTCTGTGCTCCAAAAGTGTTTGGTGCTCAAGAGGTTAGCTAGTCTTTGGGCATGGGTTCAGCTCCCTTTTGATTCCAAAGTACATCAGCAAGGACTCTCATGAGATCTATTGCTATTTTGTGCGGAAGTTTGGATGGTGTGACATGAGACACAGTAAGCAGCTTTTTCCTCTAAACAATCAAATAGTTTTATCACTAGAAATTTTATATTTCTTCCCTAGATGACCAAGAGAGCTTAAGCCTCAAATACTTGTAACACTGGAAAGAGTGAGAAGGAAAAGAAATCCCACTCAAAGAATCTAAAGATATACATTCTTCTCTTCTCAGAGACCAGTTCTCTTTCTCTCTGAATTTAAATTTGTGCATTCTTTAAAATTTTTCTTTAATTTAAAAGCTAGAATACAACTCTGATCCCCCACTAGTAAGCTGAATATAATTTTTTAAGCCTCTGCTCTGTTCAATCTTGCTTATAAAGTTCTATTACTTGAATCAGGAATCTTATTGATGTTTCTATTGTTACTACTCCTGGTACAATAAAGATAATCTTTCCTTTGTTTTTATGACTAAATGACACAGAATTTATGTCACATTTTTCTAATAGCCCCAATTAAGACATTGCCTTTCCGATGCATACAATTTTGTTTGTTTTATACTAACCCTAACTATTTTACTGTACTCTTTTTAAAGCATAATTCATGAAAAATTGTGCTATTCTCAATTCTAAGTAAACTTGTCTCCCGTCTTTTTGACTTCCGCACATGAAAACACAGGAATACAGATGCATGTATATTCTGTCTGTACTGACCTCAAGGTCGTAAACAAGGAGATGCCCTTCATCTGGTAACAAAAGATATAAAATGCCCCTTGAGGGCTGAGTTTGCAAGACTGATCTTAAAAGGTGATATTAATGCCATCAAAAGAAAAACACTTTCTTATGATAGAAGGATCAGAGTGCAAAATATGTCATCAAATGAAATTGGACGCTTGAGGGCTCTTCATAGCTCATAATTATTGATTGGAATAGCAAACTGAGTAATTTGTAGGCCAGTAGCTTGTGACACATTGTATTGAAGAGCCATATGTGAAACTGTGCGAAATTAACAGGAGTGTTGTTACACCTTCAGCATTTTAGATGAGAAACACATGCAGTTTTGAAATTTCAGATTTGCTATTTCAAAAACTCTAAGAGCATCTGTTAGGAATTGCATGATCTAATCTCCAACACAGCACAAGCAGTCAGTTTTTCAGCATGTCATACCATTCCTTAGTAAAGAGCCAGAAAATGAGCAAGCAGGTCACTTTTCACCTCATTAGCACAGCAGGAGGGGGCTCTGGAAAACAAGATGCCAGTAAAAGCCATGGGGCTTGCTAGTATCTTTTTTGAATAACAGAGAAAGGGCCCAGCTGTGTTCTCCTTCTGACTCTGCACTGCTGTTCTTTCCCATGCAACCTCTTCCCTTTCTTTCTGACGTTTCATAAGTTTGACCCCTATAGTGTTTATAAACTACCACGAAGTCCTAGTTATGGAGTATATAATTTTTTCCTCTTTTCCTCATAGTAAATCTTGGTGCAAACACAATTATATTCAATATGATATGATGGATACATAATTTTCAGTGTCCTTGGCCACACCAGGACTCAGGGTCATTTGGACACATATATGGAGAAGATAGTGGGAGAACAGATGTCCTTTCATTCTCTGAGCTGCTTCTTGCATAGGTAAAATTATCAAATAAAAGTTGAAATTTATTTTATATTTCCCTCATCTTGACTTGTCTTTGTTAACCTTATTGTCACAATTGTGACTCTTTCATCAGTCTTGATTCCTGGATGACTACAATAGTGAGATTCCTCCTGCTGACACACAATGGACAAACAATACAACAAAAACAGCTTTTTTATTTTAAGCCACTAATTTGTGGATCACATGTTATACTGATCAGATATAGCTGATCTGAGTAATAAAAATGCTAAAATTTAGACAGGTGTGATGGCTCATGCTTGTAATCTCAGCATTACAAACATGCTGAAAGGCCAAGGCAGGAAGGTCATTTGAGGTCAGGGGGTGGAGACCAGCCTGGGTAACATGGTGAGACCTTTTTTCTACCAAAAATTTAAAAATTAGCTGGGTGTGGTGGTGCATGCCTATAGTCCCAGCTACTTGGGAGGCTTAGTTGGGAGGACTGCTTGAGCCCAGGAGGTCAAGGCTACATACGGTGAGCTATGATCACACAATTGCACTCCAACCTGGGTGACAGAATAAGACTGTGTCAAAAAAAGAAAAAAAAAGCTAATATTTATTAGGCAAGAGCTTGTACTGGACACTGTGCTAAATGTTTTATAATCAATATCTCAATCCTCATAGCAACAGTGTATGAAAGATAATATCTTTGGCCAGGCATGGTGGCTCACACTTGTGATACCAGCACTTTGGGAATCTGAGGCAGGTGGATCATGAAGTCAAGAGATCAAGACCATCCTGGCCAACATGGTGAAACCCCCATCTCTACTAAAATATAAAAAATTAGCCAGCTGTGGTGGTGCGTGCCTGTATTGCTACTCAGAAGGCTAAGGCAGGGGAATTGCTTGAACCCGGGAGGCAGAGGTTGCAGTGAGCTGAGATAGTGTCACTGCACTCCAGCCTGGTGACAGAGCAAGACTCTGTCTCAAAAAAAAAAAAAAAGAAAGATAATATCCTCATGTTTTGTGGGGGTCTGTCCCTCAAAACCTGACCCAATGACAGATGAATGACATACACTGAAACAGATACTTTGCCTGTCAATACGGCTGACGGTCTGGGCCACTCACAGACACCAATGACGGTGCTGTAAATAGTTGCAGCCACGGCCGTGATCTGCCAGCAAAACTAGCATTTATTCAGTATAGATAAAATGACAAAGGCCTTGAGTAAACACCACTAGAGGGTAGTTGATACTGCTGACCTCCCGAGTACACAGCAATTATGCTCTCCTAGTTGATCGAAGGTTGGTCCTAGGACCACATGAGTAAACAAGCTGTTTAAACTACTCTACATTCTTATGTATCTATGCCCTATGCTTTTAAGATAATTCAGCTACCTTCAGCCAAACACTTTATGCAAACCCCCATACCTTCCAAGAGGGTTTGTGTTATTTCCTATAATTTTACAATTTCTCCCACTATCCTGACTGAACCCCCACATTCTCATCCCCATTTCCAAGTGAAAAAGTAGGATTTATAGGCATTTGTATTAGTCTTTTACACACTGCTGATAAAGACATATCAGAGACTGGGCAATTTACAAATGAAAGAGGTTTAATTTGACTTACAGTTCCACATGGCTGGGGAAGCCTCACCATCATGGTGGAAGGCAAGGAGGAACAAGTCATGTCTTACTTGAATGGCAGCAGGCAAACACAGCATCAGGAAGATGCAAAAGCGGAAACCCTGATCAAACCATCAGATCTCATGAGACTTATTCATTACAATAAGAACAGTATGGGGGAAATTACCCCCCATGATTCAATTATCTCCCTCCAAGGTCCCTTCAACAACACATGGGAATTATGGGAATACGATTCAAGATGAGATTTGGGTGGGAACACAGAGCCAAACCACATCGTTTTGCCCTGGGCCCCTGCCAAATCTCATATCTTCACATTTCAAAACCAGTCATGCCTTCCCAACAGTCCCCCAAAGTCTTTTTTTTTTTTTTTAAGATGGAGTCTCACTCTTGTTGCCCAGGCTAGAGTGCAATGGCACAATCTCAGCTCACTGCAACATCTGCCTCCCTGGTTCAAGCAATTCTCCTGCCTTAGCCTCCAGAGTAGCTGGGATTACAGGCACACACCACCACACCTGGCTAATTTTTGTATTTTTACTAGAGACTGGGTTTCTCCGTGTTGGTCAGGCTGGTCTCAAACTCCCAACCTCAGGTGATCTGCCCACCTTGGCCTCCTGAAGTGCTGGGATTACAGGTGTGAGCCACTGCATCCGGCCCCAGTCCCCCAAAGTTTTAACTCATTTTGGCATTAACCCAAATGTCCATGATCCAAAGTCTCAACTGAGACAAGGCAAGTCCCTTCCGCCTATGAGCCTGTAAAATTAAAAGCAAGCTAGTCATTTCCTAGATACAATGGGGGTAGAGATATTGGGTAAATACAACTGTTCCAAATGGGAAAAAATGGCCAAAATAAAAGTGCTACAGGGCCCATGAAAGTCTGGAATCCAGCAGGACAGTCAAATCTTAAAGCTCCAAAATGATTTCCTTTGATTCCATGTCTCACTTCCAGGTCATAGTGATGCAAGAGTGGGTTCCCATGGTCTTGGGCAGCTCTGCCCCTGTGGCTTTGCAGGGTACAGCCTCCCTCCCAGCTGCTTTTATGGGGTTGCACTGAATGTCTGCAGCTTTTCCAGGCACACAGTGAAAGCCGTAGGTGCATCTACCATCCTGGGTTCTTGAAGATGGTGGCCCTCTTCTCACAGCTCCACTAGGAAGTGCCCCAGGAGGGACTCTGTTTGGGGGCTCTGACCCTACATTTCCCTTCTGCACTGCCCTAGCAGAGGTTCTCCATGAAAGCCCTGCCCCTGCAACAAACTTCTGCCTGGGCATTCAGGTGTTTGCATACATCTGAAATCTAGGCAGAGGTTCCCAAAACCCAGTTCTTGACGACTTGTACCCATAAGCTCAACACCATGTGGAAGCTGCCAAGGCTTGGGATTTGCACCATTTGAAACCATGGCCTGAGCTCTATGTTGGCCCCTTTCAGCCATGGCTAGAGTGGCTGGGACACAGGGCACCAAGTCCCTAGGCTGCACACAGCTTGGGGACCATGGGCCCGGCCCAGGAAACCACATTTTCCTCCTAGGCCTCTAGGACTGTGATGAGAGGGGCTGTGGTGAAGACCTCTGACGTGCCTTAGAGACATTTTCCGCATTGTCTTGGGGATTAACATTTGGCTACTTGTTACTTATGCAAATTTCTGCAGCCAGCTTAAATTTCTCCTCAGAAAATGGATTTTTCTTTTCTTTCGCATTGTTGGGCTTCAAATTTTTTAAATTGTTATGGTCTTTTTCCCTTTTATAACTGAATGCTTTTGACAGCACCAAAGTTACTTCTTGAATGTTTTGCTGCTTAGAAATTTGTTCTGCCAAATACCCTAAATCATCTCTCTCAAGTTCATAATTCCACAAATCTCCAGGACAGGGGCCAAACTCTGTCAGTCTCTCTGCTAAAACATAAGAATAGTCACCTTTGCTCCAGTTCACAACAAGTTTTTCTTCTTCATCTGAGACCACTTCAGCCTGGACCTTATTGTCCATATTGCTATCAGCATTTTGGGCAAAGCCATTCAACAAGTTTCTAGGAAATTCCAAACTTTCCCCCTTTTCCTGTGTTATTCTGAGCCTTCCAAACTTTTCCAACCTCTGCCTGTTACCCAGGTCCAAAGTCACCTCTACATTTTTGGATATCTTTTCAAAACACCCCATTCCTGGTACCAATTTACCAAACAATCTAATAGATTGCTTTCATGCTGCTGATAAAGACATCCCCGAGACTGGGCAATTTAAAAAAAAAAAAAAAAAAAAAAGGAGGTATAATTGGACTTACAGTTCCATATGGCTGGGGGGACCTCACAATCATGGCAGAAAGCAAGGAGGAGCAAGTCCCATCTTACATGGATGTCAGCAGGGAAAGAGAGTATTTAATATTTTCACATCTTGTACATCATTTCAGAACTCCTTTGCTTTACCTCTTCTTTCAGCCATTGCTGCAGTGACCAATTCCAATTCCAAAAGGTTGTTGATGGGCTTAACAAAGGTGAAGTCACACCATTCCTTGGCTAGGCATACCTCTCACATCTTGCTCTTAGCTCTTTTCTGCACCGCAATATGAAACAACCACAGCTCTACATTTGTACAAGCACAGCTCAGGGCCATGTAACCAGAACATGAACCAATAAAATCTGAAGGACTGTGCATCTATTCTTAACCCATGGGTGTCAGGAGACAATGGGAAATGTGCTCTCCCCATTTCCTCCTAATACAGACAGCTCTGACATTTTGTAAAATTTCTTAGAAGGTCTTGAAGTCAGTATCCAACTTGCTAAGACATTCTTGCACTGGCTTTCCTTCCTTTTCTTTTATTCCAGTTGTCCTGAATGCCTTCTCCCTTGGATCAGACAATTAAGCAAACCACTGGCATACAAACCTTTGTCTCAGGCTCTACATAGCTAGAACCAGGAATATAACATTAAGCAGCCAGCCTAAGGACACACAGTTTCTGTGGCACATCTAGAATCAAGGAAGAGTAGGGGTAGAAACAATGCCCCTAACCACTATTAAGCACAGCCTTAATATTTGTTGTTATAATTTGCATTCTTTTTTGTACCATGAAAGGTTTTTAAGCAACCGGATCCTCTTTGGCACCTTTTATTTCTCTCATATAATGACAACTCTTTGTGTGTGTATGTGTTCTGATTAGCATGTGTCATAGTTTCTGTTGTGTTTTTGCACCTGCTTTTGAGTAAACACATTTCGTTTCTTTATAAAAAGCCTACCATGTAATGACTTTTGAAAAAAAATACACATTAGTTTATATATTTGGCTTTTAATTTCAATTTTTAAAGTGACCTATATACAGTCATGTGTCACTTAACGTCAGAGATATATTCTGAGAAATATGTTATTAGGTAATGTTGTTGTGAACATTACAGTGTATTTACACAAACCTAGATTGTATAGCCTATTACAAATGCAGGTTATGTGGCATAGCCTTTTGCTGGTAGACACCAATCTGTACAGCATGTTACCAAACTGAATATCGCAGGGAATTGTAACACAATGATAAGTATTTGTGTACCTAAACCTACCTAAACCTAGAAAAGGTACAGTAAAAATACAGTGAGGCTAGTCCCATCATAATCTTATGGGATTAACCTCATATATGCAGTTAGTCATTGACTAAACTGTCATTAAACAGCTCATGACGGTATATTACGTATATGATTTTCTAAAGGCTTCCTATCTTAAGACTTTTAAACATAATTTCTTATAACACTCTTATCTATAGAGACTAACATATTATAGTATCCACAAAGCAAGAGAGAATTATTGCATCATCCACATGTTTTAGAGCATGAGAGACTTGTAAATAATTTAAAATTTTGTGATAGCCACATTAAAGGAGTAAAATAAAAGTCATAATTGATTTATAATATGTTTTATTTAATCCAATATGTACAATACATCATAAATATACTTTCAAAATGCAATCAATATAAATATTTATTAATGAGATATTTTACCTTTGTTTAATACTAAGTTTGTGAAATTAAAGATCTTGTACTTACTTGTACTTACACCATATCCAAATTTGTTCTAGCCACTTATTCAAGTGCCCAATAGCCACATGTGGACAGCGACTCCCATATGGGACAGTGCAGTAATCCCTACAGCTTACTATTTTTGCTTGAAACTTAATATTTCTTTCAGACATAGTTTATTTTATCTGTTATGTCAGGGGCTTTTTTTTCTATAGCTCTCCAAATATGTTTAATAGGTTGAAGAAATATTTTTAGGTCAATAGTTCTTGATTTCTTTTGATTCATTTATTGAAAACTGCCTAATAAAAACCTACATTTTACTTTTTGCCAAATGTGTCTGTTATTTGACCATTGTACCACTTCAGAACCAAGTTGCAAGTCAAGTCAGGGTTCAGTTTTAGGATGATATATTTAAAACATATTCAAGAATTATACTGTGTTTATGAGTTGAAATCATCTATACTGTTTACTTCCGTGAGCCATAACTTACTAAGGCAGCCTAATGTCTTGGAAGAGGTAATAATACAGCTATTACAATGTTTACCTTAAACAAAAAGAGTAGTTCAATTTGAGGAAATACTTTATCTAATATTTAAATCATCTTTTCAACATTGCAGCTTACTCATCTGTAAAACGTGGTTCCTGAGTACCTACCTCATAGGAATGTTGTAATTAATTAGCTAATACAGAGAGCCCCTTAGAACTGTGCTTGGTTCCTAAATAATCCTTCAATAATGTTAGGTATGATTATTATTACAATTACTGTTTTATCAGAGTGTATTTTCTTGAAGTGAAAATTTCTATAGAAAACTGTTTTGAGTAGTTACAGGCATAATTTGTGCACATAAAAATTATGTAAAGAAGCTCATTGGAAAATACACATATGCTTATATATGTCATATTTTTTCCCTATCAAAAATATAATACAAAAACTATAAAATAATGAAAAATAACAAATTTACAATTTTCTATCTTCTACCACTTGCCAGTAAAGAAAAACATTTCCAACATTCTAATCACAGTTTAATTTTTAGTGCAATACATTATTATTTTCTTGTGAAATCTGTATATATTTGGATAATTTTAACTTCTCACCCACCTCTGGCAAATTCATTAGAGAATACTTAAATTTTGGCAACTTTTCAGAAAACGGTTCTTGGCTGAGAATTGAGTTGATGTTATAATGGAACATATAGGTTAGATAAATAGGTCACGTGTGATTTTATGTGTTCATAAATATCAGTGTGTCTTTTAAGGTAGTGTTGAGTGGAGGGCAAGGAGAGCGGTATAACTGCCGTCTGTATGAGCTATAGATTATCAGCACGTACAAGAAAAGCAGTACATTTTCTTAAAAGGCAGTAAAGACCTAGACCTTGACATATTGCTTGATAGAATAGTTCAGCAATTTGTTGAACCCACATTTTTTACTATTTCTGATTGCATAGTTGGTAAGTAGGATAAAAGTTGGCAAGTTGAGAAAATGGAGCTTTTACAGTTTGTAGGAAAGAGGATTTAATGCCACTGCAAGTAAATGGATAGTTTCTCATATGCAGTTTAGGTACGACAAAGAAAGCAATCATTCTGACAATGGGAGGAAGGTAGCTTAAGGTGGGAAGTTATTCACAGCATCCATTATTTAGTATTTTTGGAGATGGATTATTTTGTCCAAATTAGTACTTACTCTTGTAATTTTTTGCAGATGCTGTTACGAACTTCCCTTAGAATCAACCCATTTGTGAAACACCACATTAATAAGAGCAGTATCTTTGGAGATTGGAGAGTCCACCAAGGATGCCCACTGGCTCCCTACAAAGTTTTTTATGTGAGGACTCGGTCTCAGGTAGGATATTTCTTCACACTTAACATTTCTGCTGGGGTAGTACAGTGGGCATGTTCTAATGTCTCTCATTCTACTTACGTCTAGCACAGTTGCATGACAATATTCATTTTTATCTATGTCAGAACAAGAAAGCACTAACTTCTAATAAACACACACTAACAGAAAAGGTAAGAAGATCTGGTATTAAAAAAAACAACAAACAAATCAAGCAAAACTCACTTCCTTAAAGTCAGCTGTTGAGATTAAAAACATCATTTGAGATGAGATGCGGTAGAAAATGTTCAAATGTGTTTATTTTCTAATTTTAACAAGCATGTACAATGAAAATAGATGGCGTAGCTTTTATGCTAATAGGTCACAAGAAACTGTTGCAGAAAGACATATTTTCTCTTTCGTCTATCCACTTAATAGTCAAGATAGAGCAATTGTACATGGAATATTTTTATTAGAAATAAGAGACCTAATTATTTTCACTAACTTAAAGTCCCCTGACAGGCTGTCTTATGGAAGTAACTGCACAGTTAAAAATTAATCATGTGGCCTGCATACCAGCCTGTTTACCAGTTTATAATCAGTTTGATTCCTGCAGCAGTGCAATGTAATGTGAGGAAATGCTTTTCTACAGAAGATCCAGATGCATGTAGAGCATCAAAAAAGTGTTGTCAGTTTGAACCAGAAGTACTAGAGAAAGTCATTTGCAGAGCCTCAAATAGACTGCTATCTAGCTGTCTAACTCCAACTTAGTTTTCTTACCAGGGATCTTTACTTAAAATGTTTTTTATTTCACAATGTCACCCTACATTTCTTTTTGTAACCTAAAAGACATAGCATAGAACATCAAATTATGTTACACAATGAAGCATAAGTAAAATGACAAAAAAAAATTAACAAACATACAAAAACTAATCAATTAGAAATAAAATATTTGCCAACTACTAGGACAAATGAAATTCCCTTATATTATGCACTAAGGACTCTTGAATGCTAGGACACCCATAAAGGAAGGCAAAAAGTACAATGTTTTAGTAGTCATTTAAATGTTTCCATTTTACAGATGGTTTTCTTATGTATAAACTGGAAAACATAACTGCAATTACTTCACAGTGTAGATGCAATAATTTAATGTCCTAATGTAAATAAAAGCATACATCAGGGTTGTCTGGCTATGAAATAAGCATTTGATAAATGCTCAGGATTAATAATCATAAGGCATTATACATTTATTTATTCATTAATATCAACTAATAATATTAATATCAATTAATAAATAATATTAATTAATATATCTTATAATGAGAGCTATGGTTTATTCAAAGATTATTCTTATTTTAATAAATGATCTTCCGGTAAAGACTTGAAAGGAAGCAGGTCATATTACAAACAAATCAGTTTGCTGGACGACTAGTTTGATGAATTAGAGATTTTTGAAGCCTTAGTTGGGCTGAGAGGGCCCTGCAGCTCTTTTGCCAGAGCAGTTTTAAGGCAGCCTCCTTGCAGAGCAGCTGTATTTACTGTCAGTTTTCAAGGGCCTTGTACTCCTGGAATTTCCATTTACTTGCAAATATTAGACATTCCCTTCAATTCATCCCATCTTTTAAATTTTCGCATAACTGTTTACTCTGACTTGTCCCAGTTTCCTTGCCCCATTTCCTTCTGTTACTACCTTTGCCCATGTGTCAGAGTCCCTAATATGTAAGTGCTTTCTTGCAATATTTTTTTGCGTATTACAGGCATTGATTCTCTCTTAGTAAACTTTGTTCTGCCTTTAGAAATCTGAACATCACTTTTCTTGACAGAAAAGTGTCGTAAAGGGTTCTTATTTTCTGTCTTTTTTTTGTTCTGTTCTTCTTTGTCGTTTCTTCACCCTTTCTCTTCCTGCTCTGCAAAAAAAAAAAAAAAAAAAAAAAAATCCCCTTTCATCTTATTTTGTATTATTCTAAGCTCAATGTGACCATGACCCTCCTGACACTGCCTTCATACGGCATAATGATAGTGTTAGAAATGCTCCTGTATTTCATTTGAATAAAGTCTTCAAAACTGGAGTGATTTTTAGAGCTCCCTTAGTAGCCCTTACAATCTTTTTTATTTGCATATTCTTTTTTTATAATATTTTTTAGTCGTATGCATTAATATTTTTTAAATGCTAGAAAATAAAAAAACATAAGAAAAAACACCTCTCATCTCACCAAAAATAGCTAAACATAATAGTTTACTGAATCTCCTTTTATTTGTTTATATATACTATACAAACTTGTTTTGTTTTGTAAGTAAAATAGATTTGTGCTAGTTTATAACCTTTTATTATTTTTTCTATATGCTGACATTTTCACATTAATAAATATAATTGTCCTATGTATATTTTAATGGCCACAAGATGTTCAATTGTATACATGTGCAACAATTTATTTAACCAAGCCTTTACTTTTGCTACTTAGGCTATTTCTAATTTGTCACAATTATAAACAATGCTATGGTAAACATCTTTGTACTTAAGTCTTGAGTGTATCCTTAATTCCAAATCATTAATTCTTTTTTAAACAAATTTCAACTTTTACTTTAGATTGAGAGAGTGCATGTACAGGTTTGTTTCTTGGGTATATGACATGATGCCGAGGTTTGGGGTATGGTTGATACTATCACCCAGGTACTGAGCATAGTACGCAATAGTTTTTCAACCCCTGCTTCTCTTCCTCCCACCCTCTCCCTCTACTTGTCCCTAGTGTCTATTATCCTATGGTAGCTAATATTTAGCTCCTACTTATAAGTGGGACCATGTGGTATTTGTTTTTCTATTCCTACATTAATTTGCTTAGGATAATGGCCTCCACCTGCATTGGTGTCGCTGCAAAGGGCATAAGTTTATTATTTTTTCATGCCTGTATAGTATTCACAATGTATACGTTCCACATTTTCTTTATCCAGTCCATTGCTGAGGGAAACGTGGGTTGATTCCATGTCTTTGCTATTGTGAATAGCGCTGCAATTAACAGACAAGGCGTGTGTTTTTTTGGCAGAGCAATTTATTTTCTTTGGATATATACCCAGTAATGGAATTGATGGGCCAAATGATAGTTCTCTTTTAAATTCTCTGAGAAATCTCCAAACTGCTTTCACAGTGTCTAAACTAATTCACATTTCCACCAACAGTATATAAGTGTTCCCCTTTTCCACAGCCTTGCCAGTATCTGTTGTTTTTTGACTTTTTAGTAATAACCTTTCTGGCTGGTGAGAGATGGTATCTCATTGTGGTTTTGACTTGCATTTCTCTGATGATTAGCGATGTTGAACACTTTTCATGGTTTTTGGCCACTTATATGTCTTCTTTTTTATTTATTATTTATTTTTATTATTATTTTTTAGAGACAGGGTCTCCCTATGTTGCCCAGGCTATTCTTTAACTCTCGGGCTCAAGTGATCTTCCCATATCAGCCTCCCAAAGTGCTGGTGTTACAGGCATGAGCCACCTCACCCAGGTTATGTCTGTCTTCGAGAAGTGTCTGTTCATGTCTTTTGTCCATATTTAAATAGGATTATTTCTTCTTTGTTTGTTCGATATTTTAATTTCCTTATCGATTCTGGATATTAGAACTTTGTTGGATGCATAGTTTGTGAATATTTTCTCCCATTCTCTAGGTTGTCTCTTTACTCTTTTGACAGTTTCTTTTGCCATGCAAAAGCTCTTTAATTTAATTAGGTCCCATTTGTCAATTTTTGTTTTTGTTCCAATTGCTTTTGCGAACTTATTCATAAATTATTTTCCAAGGCCGATGTCCAGAATGGTGTTTCCTAGGTTTTATTCTAGAATTCTTATAGTTTGAGGTCTTATATTTAAATATTTAATCCATCTTGGGTTAATTTTTGTATGTAGTGATAGGTTGAAATCCAGTTTTATTCTTCTGCATATGGCTAGCCAGCTATCCCAGCGCCATTTATTAAGGAGTCCTTTCCCCACTGCTTATTTTTGTCAATTTTGTTGAAGATCAGATAGCTGTAAGTGTGTGGCTTTATTTCTAGGGTAAATTCTGTTTCATTGGTCTATGTGTCTGTTTTTGTGCCACTACCATGCTGTATTTGTTACTATAGCCTTATACCAGAGTTTGAAGTCAGGCAATGTGATATCTCTGGCTTTGTTCTTTCTGCTCTACTATTGCTTTGACTATTAGGGCTCTTTTTTGGTTCCATATGATTTTTATAACAGTGTTTCTTAGTTCTGTGGAAAATAGCATTGGTAGTTTTACAGAAATAGCATTGAATCCATAGGTTGCTTTGAGCAGTGTGGTCATTTTAATGACATTGATTCTTCCTATCCATGAGCATGGAATGTTTTTTCATTTGTGTGACCTATGATTTATTTCAGAAGTGTTTTGTAGTTCTCCTTGTAGAGACCTTTCACCTCCTCATTTACATGTATTCTTAGGTATTTTAGTTTTTATTTTTTGGCTTTTAAAATGGGATTGTGTTTTGGATTTGGCTCTCAGCTTGAATGTTATTGGTGGACAGAAATGTTACTGATTTTTGTACATTAATTTTGTATCCTGAAACTTTACTGCAGTTGTTTACCAGGAGACTTTTGGCAGAGTCTTTAGGGTTTTCTAGGTATAAAATCATATCATTGGCAAAGACAAATAGTTTGACATCTTTTCTGTCCTATTGGGAGGACTTTTATTTCTTTCTCTTGCCAGATTGCTCTGGCTAGAACTTCCTAATTCTTGAAATAAAGTTTCCAGGTTTAAGTTGAAGTAAAAAAAAAATATGTATTATTAAGGCTTTAGGTAAGTATTTGCAAAGCTGTCTTCCAGGGAGATTTTATAAGTATAATTTTACTGAACCTCTTTCATAATGGGTATTATAAGTGTATTAATTTCTGTGTTTTTTTAAAAAAAGGTGAAGTTAAAATTTTCTATATTAATTGATAAATTATACTACTTTTTATTTGTTATATTAATCATTATATTTTAATTAACAATAATTATATGTATTTATCAGGTACAATGTTACCTGATGATGTATATATATATATTATGGGATTATGATTAAATCAATGTAATTAACATACACATTACCTCACATACTTATCATTCTTTTGTGTTACAAGCATTTAAAATCTTCTCTTTCAGCAATTTTAAAATATACACAACATTATTGTTAACTATAGTCAACATGCTGAGAAATAGATCTCAAAAATTATTTCTCCTGTTTAAGTGAATCTTTTTACCCTGTGACCACCATCTCCCCAATCCCTGGTAACCACCATGCTACTCTGCACTTCTATGTGATTTACTTGTGTTACTGCAAATGGCAGGATTTCATTCATTTTATGGCTGAATAGTATTCCACTGTGTACTTATGCCACATTTTCTTTATTCATTCATACATTGGTGAACACTTAGGTTGATTCTGCATCTTGGCTATTGTGAATAGCGCTGTAATAAACATGGAAGTGAAGATATCTCTTCAATATTCTAATTTTAATTCTTTTGTATATGTACCTAGAAGTGGGATTGCTGGATCATAAGGTACTTCTATTTTTACATTTTTTGAGAAAGCTTCCTACCATTTTTCATAATGGCTATAGTAATTTACATTTCCAGCAACAGTGAAATGGATTCCCTTTGCTCCACATCCTCTCCCATGCTTGTTATATTTTGTCTTTTGATAAAGGACATTCTAACTGGGGGTAGCTGATTTCTCATTGTGCTTTTGATTTTCATTTCCTTGAGATTAGTGATGGTGAACATTTTTACAAACCTGTTGGCTATTTGTGTGCCTTCTTTTGATAAATGTCTATTCCAGACTTTCATCATTTTTTTAATTTGCCTATTTGTGTTTTTGTTATTCTGTTGTTTGAGCTCCTCGTATATATTTTTTATCTTAACCCCTTGTCAGATGAATAGATTGCAAACATTTTCTCCCATTCTATAGGTTGTTTCTGCACTCTGTTGATTGTTTTCATTTTCTTAATTCCTTTTTTGGATAGTTTGTTGATCATGTATAGAAATGCTATTGATTTTTGTATGCTGATTTTGCATCCTCCAAGTTTACTGATTTGTTTATCAGTTCTAACAGTTTTTGGTGAAGTCTTTGATGGTTTTCTGTATAAAATTACATCATCTTCAAACAGAGACAATATTACTCCTTCCCTTTATGTTTGGATGCCTTTTATTTCTTTTTTTTTTTTTTTGGCTAATTGCTCTGGCTAGGATTTCTAATACTATCTTGAATAAAAGTGGCAACAGTGGATATACTTGTCCACTTCTTTTAGTTCCCACATAAAAATGAGAACATGCAATATTTGTCTTTGAGTGCTTGGCTTACTTCACTTAACATAATGACCTCTATTACTCCACTGATTGCCAAGGTTGATTCAGCTGGTGTAACTGGCTAGGCAGGTGCTACCTTCCTCCCCTACTGCTCCATGTGTGTCCTTCCCAAGCTGCGTGCTCAGTGGAGTAGGATGACTTTCTTCAGTGGAGGAAGACTATTCTTTGGTCAAGGGTATTAGAGTAGTTGTGCTGCCCTGCTAGAACCTCCAAACAAGCCACATTGATTTTTTGTCTGCCACCCCATAATCTCTCCACATGCACGGAGCCACTTGAAGTTTCAATATTTTTTGCTCTAAAATTTTAACACATGTTTAAGAACAAAAACATTTCTTTATATAACATGGCCATTGGCATATACAATAATTTAATACTGATAAAATAATATAATCTAAAATATAATTTATATTTCAATTACTTCCCTTATGCCCAAACTTTCTTTTATAGTTTTTTTTTAAATTTTTGTATCTGAGAGATAAACAAAGGACATGCATCATATTGGGTTGTAATATCTCTAATTGCTTTCATTCTAGAACAATACCTGGGTCTTTTCCCCTTTCCTTTGTTTTTCTTTCTTTTTTTTTGATTTGTTGAATACGTTTTGCTATAACAATGGTGTTTTGTAAGTCTAAGATAGTTGACCCATAAAATATCCCATGTGTTTGATTATTTCCTCATGATTAGATCCAAGTCGAACAGTTAGGACTTTTGCTCAACAGGTCTTAGTATGTTATTCCCACTGCATCATATCAGTAAATGCATGATGTAGTTTGTCTCAATTCTGGCGATGTTAAGTTTGGATCCTATATTCAAATGTTTCCCACTAGAGCTCTCCTTTCTGAAGGTGTCTTCCCCTTCTGTAACAAATAAGCTATCTGTGGTGCAATGATTTGAGACTGTAAAAATATCAGAATAGTTTTATTAATTAATGATGACCCTTACCAATTATTACATTGGTGGTTATAAAAATGGTGACCTTTTAACTCTATTTTTTCCTTTACATTTATTAGCAGACATTCTTTTAAAAACAGACAGTGTCGGGCCAGGCGCGGTGGCTCACGCCTGTGATCCCAGCACTTTGGGAGGCCGAGGTGGGCGGATCACGAGGTCAGGAGATCGAGACTACCCTGGCTAACACAGTGAAACCCAGTCTCTACTAAACATGCAAAAAATTAGCCAGGCATGGTGGCGGGCGCCTGTAGTCCCAGCTACTCGGGAGGCTGAGGCAGGAGAATGGCATGAACGCAGGAGCCGGAGCTTGCAGTGAGCCGAGATCACGCCACTGCACTCCAGCCTGGGCGACAGAGCGAGACTCCGTAAAAAAAACAAACAGAAAACAGTGTCATCTCTGTTTCTTCTCCCTTACTTTGAGTATAGAGATTAATGGACTTTTGTTTTCTTCAATGTAATATAATCTATCGTTGTCATTATTTTTATGCTAAATTTTTTCCAGATATGGCTACTGGGATTCTGTTCAAACTGAGTGAAGACATCATCATCTTTCTTTGAGATCTTCCTTGCTTTCTGGCCAAAGAAGTTATTCCCTGACCCGACTTTCCAAAGAGTACTAGTTCCTTTTAGCAGTGATTAGAAACCTGATCTGAGTACTACTGTGTGTGCTTGTGACTAGTGTGGTTTTATTGTTTCTATGTCCTTTCAGCGAGCAGATCTACAATGAGGGATACATCTAAACAAAACTCCATATTAATAAGTCCAGTTGAAATCTAACAACATAGGGTTCTTTCGCATTCTCTTGCATTCCATATTTGTATATTCGTTCACCCATGGTGGCAACCCTGGCTATTAGAAATATAATTGTATTTATTTTGCTGTATCCTACAATAAAACAAAAAAATTAAGAATTACTATACCAACATCATGATAAAAATACACATACTAAGTAAATCTGTTATGTAAACTACAAGTGTGTTTGTAGCATTTTTGTTTTTACACTATAGCCTACTAAGTGTGCAATTAGACTTCTTGCTCACTGGTTTCTGTTTACTTTTAATTTTAGTATTTACTCTTGTTTCCCTTCCTTTTTAATTTTATTTTTAAAATTTATATAAGATTTATACTTTTTAAAATCGGAGTTCAAAATGTTTTCTTAGAGCAGTTTAATTCCCAGCTTTAGTCTCTCTTCTTTATTTCCACTCTACCATTTAGGTACCATTTTCTACCGTTTCTGGTTTATCTTTCCTGAATTAATTTCTGAAACCTAAGGGAGCATACAAACACACAACAGAATCACACACATCATCAACACACACAGACACATACACTCACCTGGGCTTCATTTAATGAAAACAACATCTCTGGGGAAGGGTTCTATGAATACTTTATCGAAAAAAACAAACTCCCTGGATTATTTTAATTTGTAGCCAAGTCTGAGGAAAAATATTTTAAACATTTTCAAATCCGCCTTTTGTAATGGCTGGTACTGGCTGTTCCCCTTCTTCGTGAGATTCCCACCACTTCCACTTCAGCAAATATTCTTCCTGCTTGGCAGAATTCTATTCATGGCAGGAGTTTTCTCATTATTTCCTAGCCTCGCAGTGATCAAACTGTCAACAAGAAAAGTCAAGAATGTATTCAATTCACCACTTTTACTTGAATAAGACAACCATATACATTCGTTGCAGTTTTCAACAGTGAGCATTTATTAAAGGAAAGAGTACTTGAATAAATGTATAAATGGGTGCAAACACGAATTAATCAGTAAATAGACATGTGGCAGTTCTCTTTTATGTTTCATGAGCCAATCATTTATTCCTTCCACCTCCCCAAATAACTTATTGTAAACAGCTACAATGATGTCACTTCTGCTCTTTGATTCTAACACCCTTTCCCATAAGTTCTCCAAGGATGTTTTGCTGTTAGCTCTATAACATTGGAAAATATCACTTAACTCTTCTGAGCTTCATTTTCTATAAAGTTGGGCATAATATTGATGTCCTGACAGGTCTTTTTGAATATGTATATTAAAATATATATATCGTCTTTTAATAAGTTTTAAGGTAATACATCCATATAATAATACTGAAAATCACAGAGCCGTGATACCTGAAAGATTTCATTTATGTCTCAGTATTAGAACATAACTATACTCCTTTAGTTACTAATGCTTCATGGATTGGTATGTAGAGATCTAACGCCGATAGTATTATTTCTTGGTTATTGTTAGAATTTTCTATAGTTTTCTTACCTTACATCGTAATATTCTGCTTTGCAGTATTTCCATTGATTTTCTTAGAAATAATAATAATAATGTTGAAAGTTGAGCACTGAAACTTGAAATGACAGTCAGTGATGTCATATTTTTAAATTCTATTGTCATGAAAAATTCTCAAAATAAAAATAACAGTTGTGAAAAATAACAGATACGTTTAAGAAAATGTTACTGAAATATTTTGGTTTTCAGTTATGAGAAGGAAAAAAATTAAGGCATCCCATTTGTAAATAAGGTTAGGTAATAAAAGCAATAGATTAATCAACAAAAATATTAATGTGATATAAACAGAGGCTAAATAAGGGAGAATTTATGCATCCTCAGGTACATCACTTTTTTTTTCTTATTTTTTTTGCTGCTCCTTCATTTCCTTTATGCTAAATTTCCTTCCCCCCAACCAGTCAACTGATAGTTTTTAGAGCTGACACAAAAGGTTTGTATTTAATTATGAAATGTGTGTTTTTATTTATATTATCTTTTTCTAAAATATTCAGGGAAGCTCTTGAAGAGTCAGGAAAATTTTCAACTTTTAAAAAGTAAGGGTAGTTACTTAGCAATTTTCAACCTGTGAAAAAGTCCTGTAAATAAGAGCCTATGTCCACATGTCAGACAAAATAATTCTTATTGGTAAGGCACCAATACAAATGTTACAGATGACTATGATTAAGTTCAGATTCTGTTTCTAAGGGCCAAACACTTAAAATCAAGACCAGTTTCACGGCCACGTGACCTGGGCAGCCACACAGGGCCTAGCATTCAGAAGAACCAGCACTTGGGGGTGGGTGGAGGGGGGAGGGGGGAGGGATAGCATTAGGAGTTATACCTAATGCTAAATGACGAGTTAATGGGTGCAGCACACCAGCATGGCACATGTATACATATGTAACTAACCTTCACATTGTGCACATGTACCCTAAAACTTAAAGTATAATAATAGTAAACTAAAAAAAATAAAAATAAAATAAAATAAAAAAAGAACCAGCACTTGGTTTAACACTTTGCTGCCACTGTATTGAAATTCTCAATATTTTTTAACAAGGGATTCACACTCTTATTTTTCACTGGCCCCATAAATTATGTAGTTGGCCCTGTACAAAATTAATTTTTCAAAGACACTTTTTAAGGAAGAATCAAGAGAAGATTAAAGAATCAATGCTATCAAGGTACTGGCATAATCAGCAGCAAGAGCTGAAAGATCTACACATCTCTCTTGGATGTGAAACATAATTTTAAAAAGTCTGTAATAACTGTGTGGGGCCATCTTTAGTCATGTATGATCACCTTATTCCATAAATGATGTATAAGAAGTATCCACATACCACAAAGTAGTATAAGGAGTATCACAGATGTTGCTTTTTCTTTATGTACACCTAGAGAGAGAAAGGAAATTGAACAAAGGGAGACAAAACTTGAAAAATCCATATTAACTTTTTTTAATTGAGATATAAAAGAGAGATAGAAAAAGAGCAAGAGGGTGAATGAGAGAGAGACACAGAAGGAAATAGAGAGGGTGAGAGAGCACAAGAATGGATGTACTTTTTGAAAGACACGCATGAAGAAATTACCTATTTATATCATTAAGGACAAAAGAGTCTCACTCCAAGGTAGGGTATTTGTTAGGGAAGTTATTGATATTATTGCATGAGAAGAGCAATGATAGTTAATATTGCTTGTTTTTTTAATGTCAAACATTAAGTACTGTCTATGTATTAATTCATTTAATCCTCACAAATACTTACAATGTAGGCACTAGTTATTATTGTCTAGTTTAAAGAAAAAGAAAGGCACAGAAGAAAGAGAAATAATTTGGCAAAACCATGGTCAATGTTGGAAGCAGGGTTCACCTTAAGAATTGATGACAGAGCCCAGGCTTTACCCAGTACACACTTTATTGTCTCTCTAGCAAAAGTAGGCTTTGGCCAGAAAATTGTAAAATGTTCTTTCTAGTGGCCCAGAACTCTAATTTAACACTTTCCAATAATTATCACACTCCTGGATTCTAGCTATTATGTCCTTAAGAAGATGTTTCGGGGAGAAAATATTTTGTCTTGCAATAAACACCGAATTGATTTTTGTTATCTCATCATGCCCAGCTCAAAAAGCATACTTTTGCATATGGGATTAATCATTGTCTAATGGGTCTCACAGGCCTCTTTATCCCAGCTCACCGGTCTCCAGATTGTGGAAAAACATGCATGGCAAAGGTGATAATATTAGCCTAGATTTTAGGCTGCCTCAGCCTCTCCCCTATGCCAATAAACAGACTTTAATCTCTGGGGCCGTCAGATGAGCAGCTTCACAGATGTTAAACTTCCTGCAAATTAAGCACATGTAGGGGGAAAAAATTACAATTACGGCAAATGCCACCCTGCTAATGGTTTCAGTAGGGACATTAGTGAATTAAACTGGTGTGGGAAACTAAATCCCTTAATTTTGCTGCTGTCAGTGTAGCAAATTATCCACGTTTTATAATTTATTTAGTTTTCATATGTACCAGAGTAGACTTTTTCTTTAAATCAATCAACAACATCGTCCTTTGTAGTCTTCTTTAAAATGATAGACTGTGTGTCTGGCTGTCTGGTTGGCCACTCAGAGCTAACCTCTGCTCCAGCCAACTGCTGCAATTAGTTGATGGATAATTCAGCATATTTTTATACCTGTCAAGCCAGCTTTATACCAACATCTGCCTTGACAATTCAGAGAGAGAGAGATCAGTGCATGTTTACTCGGGTTCATGTGAAAACGGAAAATTTAAGAAGTGCAGGTTAATCGTCCAAATTAACAGCCAGGTGTAATGGCTTCATTGTGTACCCATCACCTGCCACTTTCTCTGGCCAGTGGGTTTGTCTTTACGCTTTTTTGTTCCCTTGTCACTTGGTGTACAGCACCATTTTAATTGCAGAAATTGATTCATCTATAGCAGGTGAATGATAATTCAACATAACAATAGGCAAAATCATTGAAATGGGATGTCTGAGGTGAAAACGTGCCTTTGTCAGCTATGTTTGGTAAAGAGCCTAATCAGAAATTTCTCATTGTATTTTTGAAGACTTATACCCACTAAAAATTATATTCATCTCATGTGTTTCCAATATTTGAAATAACTCTGAAAACTCCTTTGTAAGCAAAACACAGTGACATTGGAAATCAATATATTTCTCTTTTTCAAAGTCCTTCTACAATACCATCCAGAAAGTTGCTTGAAAATAATCTTTTCTCCCTTGTAGGCTGTGGCATAAAACTTTTGTACAGTATCTGCAGATTCAGCTTTGTAATAGGGGTGGCATAAGATACTACACAGCATGATGTGAAATACCTGGAATCCCAGTCCCAATGACCAAAACTTAGTGCTCCTGTACCTCACTAATATAATACATATATGTTCAGTATTTTTATCTTGCTTTTAGTGAGAAATTAGTAGCAAACATTTATGGCTCTTGCCAGTTGTAGAATTTCATGGCTATCTGGTCAGTTCATGAAGTAGTGGGTGCCTATTAATCAAGTAGAACTACCTGTTAAAAAATTTAGATCCCAGATAATCAGTTTTTCAAATTCGAAGGACGGGTCTTCTTCAAATCACATTTTGAGAAACATTAACCCCATGGTCATTTAAAATTCCTGTAACTTTCTCTTAGTCCTCTTATCATCTTCATAGTCAACTGAGTTTTGTGAAGTATAAAGACGTTTCAGAGCACTGCAGTTTACATTCAATATAGAAACATGCTTAAAACCTGGTAACTACGATTGAGGGATTACAATCAGATGTGGGAGGATAGATATTCACAGACAAAACTGTCAAATGAAGGAGTGAAAATTAGGTGCTAAATGAATAGTACATACAACAGTGTCACAGTTCAGTGAGAGATTGATCACTTAAAGTTGCAGGTGTTGGGGAAAGCTTCCCGGAAGAAAGCCTGGAAGAAAGAGATTTTATTTCATATTTGAAGTAATAGCTGAACAGAAGGGAAAAAAAACTTTAGAAGAAAAAAATAATTAACAAATAATTGGAGATAAAGATGCATATTGACTATCTACTATGGAGACTGAGGTGGGAGAATCCCTTGAACCCAGGAGTTGGAGTCCAGCCTGGATAAGACAGTGAGACCCATCTCTTAAGGAAATGCATATTGGATATCTGATATTTAGGGAAGAATGATGGGATAATCTCTGTTAGATGTCCACGGTTAAAAGAGGCAAAAATGAATTAAATGTAAACAAAAGAAAAGAGGGATTTATAAGACAATAAAGGGTTACAGGAAAACTGCAATTTGGAAGCCTTCAGTATCCAAATGTAGACATGAGGTCTCCTCTTTTCTGTGAGTGGGATTTCTGCATTTTAACAAGTTTATTCTGCTCTTTATTTTCTGTCCTTTTCTCTCAGTATGGGGTAAATTAGTGCCTACATCATAGAATATCGTGCATATATGTGTGGGGTTAAATGAAGCACCCATCCATACCATAATTTCTTGTTGAACAATACAGGCATATCTTTTTGCATGATCAAGTCAGTTCAGAATTTCAGTGGCTGTGAGTGTGTGTGTGTGTGTGTGTGTGTGTAAGACAGAGAATTAATTAAGAACTAGAACACTTATTTTATTCCAGAACACATATTAGTGTAACAACAGTAGTTGTTAAGAACTAGAATAAAAGTTATACTAATCAGAGAATAAACAATTTCTTATATTCAGATTCACAGAACTGGTTGTTTAGAAATAAATTAAATTCATCTCAATAATAGATGTGTTTGGACTCATTTTTAAGACCCTAGAAGAAGCGCTAAAGTACCTCCTGTTTCTTCTTTTTCCTCCTTTAAGTGTACTAATTCACTTTTCTCCCCTTCTCCTACCCTGTTCAATCATTATAAGATTAGACTGAGTTCACATCTTTGTTTGTAGAGGATTAGTGACTAGGCTTCTGAGAAAAATATACGGAGAGGCCTCTCTGGATGAAATTTCCACAGATGGCTCCACAGCTGGAATAGTGGCCGGGGGTGGGGAAGAGTAACATTTTACAGAATACAATTGTTTCACAGCAAAGGTTATGGTCAAGAAAAATACCCTGAAATGTTTGTGGTAAAGAATATTATGGCAGGAAGAAGTAAGAAAGAATGTACAATTAAATTTAATCAGCAAACATTTATCAAATGTATACTAATCACAAGGCACTGAGGCAATCACTTTCCAATAATTTTATATTTTTTTGAAATCACTCTTCTCTTCAAAATTAGTGTAAATTTTATCACTGTGGCATATAAAAGGAAGATAATATTTCAACTGAGAAGGACTTTGGATATTATTAAATATTTCGAACTTATCCTGTATGCAAAGATCAGCCATTGAAGGCTTTTGAGCATAGAGAACAGTTAGGAAAAATGTTGTTCTGATTAGGTGATTCTATCGACATGCCTAGGGTCAATTGCAAATTGAGGCTGGGGGCTGCCAGACCAATTGGGCCAATATTGCAATTGTCAGGCATGAGAATGGACTGGGATGCTAAAATGAAAAATAAAGATAGACTAAGATGCCAGAGTGATGTGTATTTCATGTCTGGCTGCATGTCAGGCAGAGAGATGATAGGCAGAGCCAAGACCTAGGTGCCCAAGCAATAGGCCTTTCTTTCCAAAGTAGCACCACATTATTTTTGAGCTCTCTGTTTTTAATTATCAGCTGTTATAAGAATATCTGTATGCTTTCCTTTATCTCTAATGTCCATATTCAATATTTTCGTTGGTTGAACATCTTTCTCAGTCTTTGCTACTAAACTAGATTTTTGTCCTCACAGAATAACTCTAAAAAAGGCATAGCACCCATTTAAAAATGTTTTTCCATGGATCATTCTGACACTTGAAATTAGATGAATTATTTTTATCCTGTTTTCCAGGTGTCTTTAATAAAACTATTTATATCAGTTAAATAATTTTATAACAACAGTAATGTGAAAATGTTTTAAACTCATTATTATTCATCCGATGATGTTAAGGCTCTTTCCACCAAAGGCTTTGGCCCTCTCTGAAACTGTGAGGGAATAAATGAGTTATAAACATCCCCTTCAAACCAAAAATAGGCTAAGAAAATTTTCACTGATGGTTCAGAATAGCCGACCTTTTAATCCTAAGCCTTGCAATAACAACTTGTGGGCCCGAAAGCATTGATTGGTTTCGTTCTATGACATGGTATGACCCTAGACGTGTTTATTAAAACAAAGAAGGAAATGTAACCTGAAAAAAGGTGCTCAATTACTTGTTTTAAGAAGCTAAAAGGGGCATTATTTATGAGTGAAAGCAAATGCAATATTCTTGTGTGGAATCTGCATTTAATGATCATTCAGATTTCTTCTTGGGATAATTACAAGCAGACATTCTTATAACAGTTTTTTATTAGAAAGCAAACTTTTTCCTTAATGATTAGTAAGTATCCTTTATAAATAAAAGGTAGATAGTGTAATTGTGTACCCACCATAATTGTTGCATTTTTTTTTTTTTTGTAGCTTGTTGCTTTCTTTCTCATTCCTGTTAAACATAGTGCACCAAGTCAGGTCTGGGGATCACCTGTGCAGTTCCTCAGCGGTCAAAAGGCAATTTTTTCAATGTGATTATGAAAATTGTTTTTGGATCGATTTAAGACTGATATCACAATAATATAATATTCCAGTCTAGAATCTCATAGGTTACTTAAATTAAAATTAATTTTTGTGTTCCTACATTTTAGTCTTATTACACTTGCTGGAATAGAACTAATCTTTCAGGATTAACATTGCAAAAATATCAAATGCTTATGTAGAACTGTATGTTTGCCAAGTACTTAGACAAGCATTTTCTCATGTATTGTAGCCATGATGCATATGAAGTAAATTACTGTTGACAATCTGGGTTTCATCTTTCTTTTCGATCTTTCTTTTACAACATGCTCATAATTTTCCATTTCTTAAAAAAAAGCATGCTCCTTCCTATGATAGGGTCTTTCAATTATTTCTATCCCCCGGTAGTAATACTTGTCATCTCAAATCAGACAAACCTTGTTAATTTCTACTCTTCTTTCAAATCGCCCCTCAACTCATAACTACCTCCTATTTCCCTAAGTGATTAGTCCTAATTTAAATTTTTGTTAATAGCACATATCTCAGTCATAATATTGGAATATTGTTGTGACCATTTAATTATAGGATTTCTCCTTTATTCTATTGTAAATTCCTTGAGTGCTGAGCAAGTGACCATTTTTGCCCATCATTGTATCCCAGGAGTCAAACATATAGCCTACCACAGTGTAAGCATTCAAAAATATTTATGGAAGAATAGACATATGTCTTCTTCTCATTATTATACTAAATTCACAGACAAACATAATGCTTTTATCAAAGAAAAACACCTTTCTGATGACCACACAGTCAGTAACAGACAATTGAGACTTGCATACTGACACTTTGTCTCTAAATTCTTTTTTTTTCTCATTTTCTTGACCTCCTAGATACTTTCCACTGCCTATTCTTTGTTGCCTTTCTTCCCTCCACCCCCAACCAGTCTCTTCTCCTCTTTGTGAGACTTTAATGTGGTCAATTGTACATTGGAGCAAAAGCTGTCCTTACTGAGAATTCTAAGTCAAACAGGGGGAAAAAAAGTTGAAGGAAGTAATAGTTTCTTCCAGAGTAGCAATCAACTATTTTTTAGCAAATTCCAAAGTCCTAAATTTTATTTTTTAGCTAAAATTGAAGAAATCTTGATTAAATTTTATTAGAAAAAAATTTTCTTCTGTCTTGCAATTAAGTTTTCTGGGAGTCGGCAATATGACATGGCTTCTTTCCTTCCTTTCTTCCCTTTCTATTCTTTCTTACACCCAATAATTGTATTATGCGTTACATAAACTTTCTATGCCTCAGTTTTCCATTTGGAACTGTAGGGCCTGGCATATAATCTTTTATATATTAAAAATGCTAAGTGTTTCATAATTAATGTCTTATTCAGAATGAGTTCAGTAGGGCTAGGGGAGATGGTAAGTTGAGGATCAAAATAATAATAATAATAATTATTATTATTATTATTTACCCAAATTAAAAGATATGGGTATAAATTATGTATGCATAGAGTTTCATCCATTATGGCAAGTTTAGTCACTGAACCCTAGTACTGAGGCTAACACCAGTATCTCTCGCCTGGGATACATAATCGATGGTAGCATCATATTCTATAATTCATGATCATGGAGGCTATGTGCATGTGGATGGTACTTGTCTTCCTATGTAAGCTGTGAGGACAAACATGCAGGTACTGCAGTAAAGCAAGGGGCAAAAAAATACTAAAGATACTATATATGCAGGCATTACTTTGGTGCCTTGATGTAGATCTAAGACAACGAATCAGACCACTTGTTAGCACTATGTATCAGTGATAAGGAGAGAAGGGAGACAAAGAGTTAACTTACAAAGAGAAAAAAAGAGTGGCTAGTGTATCACTTTGGCTATCTGAGCAACAAGGTCTTTTCTATGCCTTCAATAATCTTTAACCCCTTTACCCATGCGTAAGGTCAAATTGGTCCTTACCAACATAATGCAGCAGACTCTGTTAAGTACCTAAATCTAGAAAGAATGAGTTGAGCTCACTCATTTTTTCTTGCTTCAGCCTGTAGTTTTAATCAAGCAGTGAAGAAAAAAAGAAAAGTCCTAAGGTATTTTAAGCATCCCACTGAAGGCTTCATTCTGTAAAAGCACATCTTTCTCCTCATCTCAAACTTCAATAAGTTTAATAAAAACAAAATCAAGGCAAGGAAAACTTTCTTTAAATATTGATTCACTTGTTTTATTTAGTCACTTAAAAAAGTCAAGACCAAGTTGAAAAGTGGAAGTCACCATGAACCTGTGAATTTTAGATGCTACAATAACTGAGCTTCATCAGTTCCTCAGATCTCTAAAGAACTATGTTCTATGTGGATAAAAATGATCATCATATTAAAGAAATATAAAACCACACTATCAACAATAGCAGAAAGTATGCACTTTTTCAGAATGTTTCTGTCATTTATGCTGATCTCTGTTTTCATATCACTTGCCTCCACTTTAGGCACATTTCTGTGTCTGTGTTAGTGATAAATAAGTATCTTTGATAATTCATTTTAACTTTGCTACACAGATATTTTAGATAGAGAGCACCAACTTGAAACTGCTTCAGAACAGATGAGATTTTTCTACTCGTTTTCCATATAGTCAGTGGCAGGCATACAGAAGACAAAGAAGGTGAAAAGTTTATAACTTCCAGAATGTAAACACATTCAAGATTTTAAGATTCAGGAAGATGAAAGGCACCCAAAGGACTATTGAGAATATGACATATCTGGTCATCAGGGTTATTAGATTAGCTCTGTGTTTAACTTTCTTCTACAAAGTGAGAGGTTTTAGTAAATTTTTGGCAAAACATTACCGCCTACTATGAATTGAGCTATGGGAAACTCTAGTAAGAGTTGTGACTCACTCTTGGGCAAATGAGATTTAGGAATATCAGTACCACTGACAGATTTGGAGGATCTATGTTTAAATATATTTTTAAAAAGAATGAATTTCCTTGCAACTTCCTCATACTGCTTTTGTGTCACTTAATTCTCTGAGTCTTTTAACTTTCCTTTCTTTAGTCCATGCTCAGGATTCTGATGAAGCTGGGTTCCCTGCTACCAGCATGAGAAAAGAAGAGAAAAATATGTAACACTAAAGTGCCAGTGACTTGAAGTGTTTGCCAGTGAGGGATATTTTCATTTAAGGCAGTTCAACTAGAGTGGGCACTGACCTGTCAAACAAAATTAGTCTTGAGTAGTAGACCTTCAGTCACTTTGACACCAGGTTAAGAAAAAAAAAGTACTTTCATAGAGAGCTTTCCCCACTCTGCTCAAATCATACTACGTAGTATTGATTGCTATGCCTGACAATAAGGCAGACAATGATACAAAGCTAACTACCCTATTAAGAATAAGTGCATTTCTGTTTCAGAAATTGATTTGGCATATTGTAGATAGCAAATAAACTGATCCAATACATTTATAAAAAGTTAAACCATTAAAAATAAAGTCTGATGAGTACTTTAACAATAATTTTTCATTGAAGTGTTTACTTCTGGCTTCAGGAGTTGTTTGAATCACTGAACTTTGAAATCAGAATTCAAGCTATGACTTTTAGAGGTCCCGTAGGCTAACATGATAGTAAACAATTTTATTTTTGCATCGCTGCAATTTGTCAAGTCAAAAGATAGTCTTATAGCAATTGGGATTTGCCCTTGGGTAATTGACCCCCCATGGCTATTTGTCTCAACTTTTGATCAAAATAATTGGTAAAAGAAGATGAGCTAGCTGGGACCTAGTCTGTCATTTTCTCTATTGGACTTTTAAACGTTCTACAAACCAAACTGCCCCTCATCTTATTGTTCATTTACTACCTTGGAGAGGCATATTAGAATTGCACATTGCCTGATTTAATAATCTACCCACCACTCTTTAAAACATATTTCAAGTAAATAGCTCGATGGGGGGAAAGATGAGAAGCTTATTTATTATATATGAAGTTCCGTCTTCTGCAGAAGTAGCTGGACCCAGCTTTTTCCTTTCTTAGACAAGTACTGTCTCATAATGGATCTTGGTTGGTTAAAATTTCATGCTTAACTAAACTAGTTATATCTGAATCATGTCTTCAACTCTGACTACTCTTTAATACTTAGAACTGAATGCGTTTCAGTTCTAATATGGAATGAACAACTGATAGCAGCTGGCTGCTTATACATCCCAGATGAAGCTTACAGAGAAGGTATAAGACCAGGTAGAGTCATAATAAACAAAAGAAACAACAAGGAAGCAATAAGCAGACATCATAGAACCACATGGCAAATATAAGATCAAATATATTCACTATAATGGTGTATTTAATTAATCTCTTCAGTAGACAGGGTGAAATGAACTCTATGAGTAGGTCAGAATTAATATCTTTAACTCAACACAGAATCAACTCAACTGAAAACAGAAGTCGCAAGTAAATTCCTACTCAGTTAACATTCAAAATATATTTCTTGCCCTCCAGAAACACTCCTCAAGTCTCTAGCAAAAATGAATAAACAGGAAGAGCTAAAATAAAATGACCATCAGAAATCTTTGACAAGCTATATAAACTTGTGGTCAGAAGAGAAAACATGGCAAGCTATCCTTGCCCTCTGTCAGGCTGTCCTGCTGTATGAGAAAGAGACTAGATCAATGTGTATGTGGGTGTAGAGAACACATCTGCTACTTTTGAACAAAATTGAGAGATTTTAGTCAAAGGACACGTGGATTCTTATTACATACTCTCTTGATTGCTTGCGACCAAAAATCATACAAGGTCACGTAAACCCTACGTTCCCATGAAAAACAGACAAGCAAAATTAAAATCAACCTGCAAAGGATTAAGGGATTTAGATTCCTACAGTACACAATTCAGACTGAAGATACAAATGCTGGGAATCACTTTGTGCTGAACAACATGGGAACAAAATGTACAAGTATACCTGTGTGACTTTAGTAAAAATATCTTCGGGCCGGGTGCGGTGGCTCGCGCCTGTAATCTCAGCACTTTGGGAGGCCCAGGCGGGCAGATCATACAGTCAGGAGACCGAGACCATCCTGGCTAATATGGTGAAACCCTGTCTCTACTAAAAATACAAAAAATTAGCCAGGCGTGGTGACACTCGCCTGTAGTCCCAGCTACCCGGGAGGCTGAGGCAGGAGAATTGCTTGAACCTGGGACGCAGAGGTTGCCGTGAGCCGAGATGGCACCACTGTACTCCAGCCTGGGCAACAGAGTGAGACTCCATCTCAAAAACACACACACATATATATATATCTTCACTCTAACAGATATTAAAACTATCTGTATTGTACTAAACTATAATTCCAAAATTATAATGAAAGACAAAAGGTTGTTAAAGTAACTAAAAGTATTTATTTAATTGTTATATTTTGATGCTCTACCTTGGGAATAATATAGTCTGGTTCCAGGACCAATGATGCTAGTTCAGAAATAATCATATATTAGACACAGAGAAAATACAAGTAAATTCTAGAAAAAGAAAAAAATGTAATAAAGTAATCAGAGGTTGAAAAAATAAAACAGAAAAATATTGCCATATATATTTCAGAAATTGTGGATTGAAAATAAAATGTCACTTTTATTAACATAATTCACATATATAATAGACTATTTATTGATGTTACCTTTTTCTTTATCTATTTTCAATTATTGTTACAGTATCACAGTTTATTATACCTTTTAACGAATTTTACTTTCAATTCACGCTTAGTCTTTTCCTTTTCAGAATTTTCTTTGCAATTATCACCTCATTATATACCCCAAAATATCTTGGAACTACTGTCAAATTAAAATACAAAAAACAAACAAATAAAAACAAATTAGTTTGAGAACAAATGAAATTTATTATATTTATTCTTCTGAATTATTAAAAGTTTAATCCTTAATAAAATGTGGTACTATCTCAGTAGATATTATATATATTTACTGTAAGTAAGTTACAGGTTAACTATTTAGTGAACATATATATTATAAATATATTTACTACATATTGTATGTTATATTTTATTTATTCTGTTAGATGTAGTTACAGGTAGTCTATATTTGGTTGCTGTTGTAAATACAATAGTTTTTTCTTTATCATTTTCAAGTAATTTAAATAAAGCAACATGAATTAATAAATAGCACATATATCTTTTGTTTTGCTGCTCTTAGCAGTGCATACATATTCTATAAACCCATGAATAATTGGCATACTATGACAGGAAAGACAAAAAAGAAAAAACCTCAGAGAATTCTGAAAAAATATTCTACAGGCCTCATTGCTTTAGAAAAATAAAGCTAAACTTGAGATTAGCCATAGAAGTATAAAAAATAATAGTCAGGATTCTAGAATATGAGTCTTAAATACATCAGAATATTTATGGTTGTTTCTTAGATAATTCTTCTAAATTCTTTTTATTCTAGACAATTCTTCTAAATTCTGAAGAGTTGCTTTTTAGATAATTCTCGCTTAATTTGTTTATATTTTCATGTTTTGTACAATTTTCCTATTCTAAATGTAGATTGTTTTTATATAATGAAGATACTTTCCACAAAAGTGTAATTGAATTTATGTAGCAAGTTCTTTATTGTGATAACAATAGTACAAATATTTTCTTTGTGGTAAATGTTTAATTATGCATGTTATTTTGTTATACATAATTTAAGTGAAATAAAAATTATTCATAGGAAAAATATAATTTTTAAGTAATTTGACCGGAATCACAAAATGTACATTTTATTGTGCATTTCCCTAAATTTCTGAATTTCAATAAATCTAATAACTATCACGAGTCACATTACTTTTTAACACTTGCTATGCACAAAGCCTAGGCCTACACACTGTGTGAGAGAGTAAAATGGTATAACACATATAGTCTTTATTCTCCAGGATCTTACAATTATATGTGAAATGCAAATCAACAAAAATAAATTATGTATCTCTTTTTAAGTACTGGCTACAAGTGACAAAAGTAGTGAAATTAAGCAACTGTTGTTTGCTATTCATTTAAATCTCAGAATTCAACTTCCTTTTGGAATAAAGTGAAATAAATAATCAAGAATTTATGGTATTTATGGAAAATCTATATTATATTTAGGAAAAATTATTGTTTGTTAAAACAAATATTATAATCATCAACACAACCCAGTTGGCTCTGGGTGTGTTGCATGGCTTAATGGTTAAGAGCATTGACTAGAACTTTACTGAAGAGATCAAATCCTGGCTATGACCCTTAATAATAAGACCTTGGGCAACTTAACCTATGTGTCACTATCATCATCTGTACAGTAGGAATGATGACGTTAATAGTATTTATCACAAGGTTGTTTTGACACTTTTGAGTTAATACTGGAAATGTGAGTAGAAAAGTGATAGGCAAAATATCCATGTTGGCTCTTTTTAAAGTTGTTATAATTGTGATGATTGAAAGATTGAGAGGTAAACTTGCATTCTTGAGTGAGACTATGGAAGCCTACTGAACTCAGGCTCTGTACCACTTTAGCCCCAGCAGTTGTAATCTTGAGGGCAAATCTGGATGGCCCCTTTTTAGATAAATGATAGTGTCCTTTAGTTTTAAAAAATAGTTTTTTTAAAAAAAATACACCCACAAAAAGCTGGACTGTAGATGCTGTTGTGAAATGCAGCACTAGTTAACAAATATTAAATCAAATAAATTGCAAATGCCATTTCAGATTCAGCTACAGCAGATGTTAGAACACCAAGAAAAGTCCCCTTGAGAATAAGTTCTGCACTTAAAAAGAAAGCAAATTATTAAGCAAACTCAGCTTTAGAAAGAAAATGTAGGCTGGCTTTCCTGTAAGGCATTTATAAATAATAGGTCTGAATATAGGTGTTGATTTTGTGAAATACCATTTTAGAGAATGTGCTATGCAGTGACCAATAGATCATCATTTTTTATTAGTTTGCTTCTAGAAATTAAAAATTTCAAAAAAAAGTATCGATAAATTAGAATAGATTGAAGAAACAAAATGGAGAAATAAAAATACTTTCATAACACGTAAAAGGAAGGAACCTTAAAAAAGAATCTCTTAAAGTCGGGCACGGTGGCTCACACCTGTAATCCCAGCATTTTGGGAGGCTGAGGCAGGTGGATCATGAGGGCAGGAGATTGAGACCATCCTGGCCAACAAGGTGAAACCCCGTCCCTACGAAAAATACACAAATTAGATGGGTGTGATGGCGCGTGCCTGTAGTCCCAGCTACTCGGGAGGCTGAGGCAGGAGAATCGCTTGAACCCAGGAGGCAGAAGTTGCAGTGAGCCGAGATCGCACCACTGCACTCCAGCCTGGGCGACAGAGTGAGACTCCGTCTCAAAACAAACAAACAAAAACAAAACAAAAAAACAAAAAAACTCTTAAAAATAAAGATTCCAGGAATTATAACCTCTACCCTCACTATAGTGATTCTGATTAAATAAATATGGGATGGGGCCAGAGTTTCTTTCATTTCAGAGAGCACGTGAGTATTTTGAGCCAAACATGGGTGGACTGCTCATGGAGAAACACCATCATAGCCCCTGGTTGTGCTTCTGTATTTTAGAAGTGGGCAACCTTTGCTGGAATCAGTTGGGACAGCAGTCAAGTAGAGAGAAGCAGAAAAGGAACCAAAAAGATAAAACATAAAATAATAGAAAAATATTAATTTCAACCAGGTACTTTGTAAAGCTACCTACAGAAAATTTTTTAAGATCTGTAATGATTTAGTAAAATTGAGACGGACCAGAAAAAAACACAAAACATGTGCACTCAAACTGGAAATCACTTAAAATGCCTAATGAAAAATATGTGGTAATGAACTAATGAAAGTCAAACATAATTATGTCACATTTGGAAGAAACATAGGCAGTGTCTATGGGAATAATGTTATTTGAGTAATATTTGAAAAGCAAGAAACATTATAAATATGTGTGCAAGTAAACATGGATTATAGATAAAAAGCAAAGTTTTGTAGAAGTTATAGGAAATATTTTTATTTTTTAGAAAATTATTTTTAATGTTATATAATTATTTCAGGAGCATATAATATGTCATTTTGACTAAGGACCTGCTTGAAACAGTCAAATGTAATTTATCATATCTACTGTCATGTATTTACAAACAGTGAATTTTTAAAATACACAGAGACAGTCTGAAAAATTAAATATCTTTTGGGAACATATAATTGGTTGTCTAAACACTTGAGTGGATGCTTCTTCAGATAATTATGCAAATGTATAAATGTGAATTAGTGTATGTGATGATTATTAGAATATATACACATAAATATATAAATATACATGTAAATATAAACAAATTTGCATATATATGTTTGACAACTTTGTGTCTCTGTGTGCTGTGTGATAAATACACTGTGTTTTAATTAAAAAATCTGAAATGTTGAATACTAGAAGTTTTGTGGTGTTCCTTGAGCATAATGTTAAGTTAGTGACATAAAGTAGAAGAGAAGAGAACTTTTATGTTTTATGATTCTTTCTTCTCTAAGACATTTTTCTAAGTGGTAGATATAAACACTTGAAGAATCTCTGAGAAACATGCTTTTAAAAAGTCCACTCAGCATGACTTTCTATTAAAAACATGAGATCATAAAGTCCTATTTCTTCCTCTTTTAAAAGTTTTTTGCTAGGGATATGAAGACCACATTTTAAAACATGGGCAAAGGGATTGGGCTGAGGTTTAATGAGCTCACTTTCAAAAGGCTTCTGTCTGTCTCTAAGTTTCAGTAAAGAATAGTAATTACAGGGTAAAAAGAACCCTTTATGATCACAAAATATCTCTATATTTATCTCTTAAGCCCATTAAATATGGAAGTTTAAATCCATGTACCAAAGCAACATATTAGAAATCCTGGTAGTTTAGAAGGATTATGAACCTGAATGTGGAAGACATGAGGGAAGGAGTCATTGATCTCAGTAATGATCCCAGAGAGGCAGCCATAAGATGTTCCAGTGCCAGACAATCGTGATTATGACCTCATTCTTCATTTCTGGATAAAGCTACAGCTAAATGGATAGCCTCTGTACTCTACTACTGATTGAAGTTCTTTTTTTAAAGTAGGGAAGTATAAGATAAAAGAATATATCAGTATTGTGTGGTCACTGTGTTTTGCACTTCTTGCAATGCAATTTTATACCTGTTGTAAGCAGAATTTCTTAAATGACTTGCTAAAAATGTGCAGGTCTAATTGTTCTATGACATAGTCGACATTAAAATGGAGGGATTATGCTAGATTATCTGTGTAGGCCCAGTGTAATCACACAAGCCCTTAAAAATAGTGATTTCTTGGGGGTGGTGGCAAAGGAAATGTCAGAGAAATAGGAAGCACGAGAAGGATCAAACACAACCTCGTTAGGTAAAGAGTCAAGTGAGGAAAAAATGAGAGCTTCCCTAAGAAGTGTAGCTCCCCAAATCAAGGAAGGAAACAGAGATCTCAATCCTCTCATTTCAAGGAACTTGATTCTGTCAAAGACTTGGGCGAACTTGGAAGCAGATTTTTTCCAGAGCATCTACATAAGAGCCCTGCATGGCTGACATTTTGATTTTAGCCTAGAGCAGAGAATTCAGCTGAATCCATTTAAAATGACCTACAGAGCAGTGAGGTAACAAAAGTGTGTTGTTTTAATCTGCTAAATTTCTGATGATTTGCTACCTAGCAACAGAAAACTAAAATATGGTTAAAAGATTTTCCATCATGAGTACTTTTAATGCATTAGTTTATATATGTGTGTGTGTCTTCATACACACACACATATATATATAAGGTTGGTGCAAAAGTAATTGCAGTTTTCACTATACATATGTATGTATATATATGTACATATGAAGAGGATAGTAAAAGTGGGTAATTGGATTGTTTAAATGAATTGAGGTTCCACTTTCATGACTGAGTCTGACAAATCCCAATTCCTTCTTTCAACTCCTTTGTCTGTGATCTAAGTATACAGAGTTTATATATGTCTATTCCCACCCACCTTACAGTTGTGACATATTTTGTTACTACTAATATATTTAGTTTTTAACTGGAGATTAGAAAAATGATTCAAGAAAATCAGTTACTGTGTATTTATTCCTATTTTTATAGGTTAGAATATGATTGTCTTTATAAAACAGCTTTATGATATATTTTTGATATGCATAGATATGTATATGGCATGTAGTCTGAGATAGCTTAGTGTGCTGTAAGAGCAATGAAATAGGAACCTGCACCCCAAGCTTAAGTGCTTTCTTTGCTTTACCTCACTCCATCTCTATCTGTCCATTTCTTCACTTACTCATATAGTCCTACCATCACCACATAAAAAGAAAGAAAAAGAAAAAACTAAGGATCTTCTTGAAGCACCTAGCAAGCTAGCAAAGAAATAACTCATTACAGATGTTTAATCAATGTGTTTATTTGCTATCTTCGAATTTCTCATAGCACCAAGAATTATTCCTTGCATACAATTGTTAAAGTATGTATTTTATGAGTGGATTAATGAATTGCCTACTTGCTCTATAAATTCAGATTATTCTCATTTTGGTATTCATTGAATTGGTTTCAACATAATTTCAAGAAATAAGGTAGATTATCTGCAGATAAAGGAATAATAACCAATGAGATATGTGACTTAAATTTAGAGCGTACACAACATAAATGCCTTTTGACCTCAACATGTTCTGTGTTACAGGAAAAATCACATTAGTTTCTCCATCTAAAAGTCCTACATGTCAAATGGACGTATACCAGCCTTGCTTCTCATGTTTTAGCAACTGTCTACAGCTCCACACCCCTCTGTGGCACTGTTTCTTTTAAGCCCATCAGCATCTGTACCTCCAGCATGTAGTTGCTGTATTAATTCCTATAGCTATTGCTGCTGTTTTGGGCCCCACTGAGGCAACACAGATGGTGGCTCTGACTCATCAGTTACCTCAATCGCCTCTAGACGCTGTTATTCTTGATTGCAATGCTCATTATCTTCTCCTGGTGAACTCCAATGTCCCCTTTTCTCCAAGTGTTTAGGGACTCTGGATTGGGGAAGGGTTTGGCGGAAATGTTGAATCTAAATGGAATCAAATGCATCTGTACCCTGAACCTAAAACAACAATCATCTTTGACTCAGGACACTCCCTTTTCAAAAATTTGCACTGTCAGATATACTTATCAATTCTTAGGAAATTTCTTTCAAGTATACTTCATGTTCTTTACTCCTCTCTTTCTTTCTTTCTTTCTCTTTCCCTTCCTCTCTCCCTCTCTCTCCCTTTCTCTTTCTCTTTTTCTTTCCTCTCCTTCCTTCTTCCCTTCCTTCCTTTCTCTTTTCTTTTTCTTTCTTTCTTTTTCTTTCTTCTTTCTTTCTTTCTTTTCTTTCTTCTTTCTTTCTTTCTTTCTTTTCTTTCTTCTTTCTTTCCTTCTTTCTTCCTCTCTTTCCCTTTCTCTCCTTCTTTTCTTTTATCTTTCCTTCTGTATTTCTTTCTCCTTCCTTCCTTCCTCCCTCCCTCCATCCCTTCCTTCCTTCTTTCTTCTTTTTGTACAATCTGTATTCTTATGGAATATGCAGATATGTTGGTATATTGGTAAGCGATAAATCCCAATTTTGCTCATGAGATTTAAGGGGATGTGATTAGAGGTAGAGTATAGGTACTTAGGTATCACTATACATTTTAAAGTAATTGAGATCTTATTTTGCTGAAAGCAGATGAAAAATTTCAGAGAATTCTTTATTCTTACCGAGTTAGCAAACTAATATATGCATCTGAAATGTTCATAGAAATGTCCTAAAATTATTCTTTAGGCTAAGTGTACTCCTTTAGGTACAATTTTGGTGATTTTTAATATTTTAACAAATAAGAAGTTGCTTTTGAAGCAAAGCATCTGAAATATTAAAATACCTCAGTACATGTTTTAAGATTCCTGAATGATATTTTACATTTATGTAAAAAGTTTTATAAACCATTCCATTTTTTCAGCAGAGATCTGGAACTGTATTTCATTTCTGTTTCTCCATACCCTGTCCACTCACATGCAATTTTTTTTTTTTTACTGTGGAATGTTTAAATTTGCTGAACAGTATTATAATATATTACCACAATAAATTATCACACTGTACAAATGTACCTTAAAACATGTGTCATGCTCCAAGTAAAGCATAAATCTCTCTGTTTATCAGGCCACCAGAGAAGATTTAATATATATTTTTTACAGGTTTTATTAGTGATGATTTCTAAAACAGCTTGCACATTTTGGGTTTTTAATTTGCTGTATGTTATGAAAGCTTTTTATCTAGAAGGTATTCATTATAAATGAACATTTCTTTTTCTAATCAAATGTAAAGAAATGTCTTTAAATTCTAGGTCTCTTATAATTCATCTGATTGAAAATATTTGGACACCTAAATAGCTAAAAATATTGTAATCTATCTCTTTATTTAGTATATTGAAATACACTTAAGCTATTCAATAAAGATGAGGAGAAAATTTTGGGGTATATTTTTGTTTCCAAAGTTGGCTTTCATTTTTTTATATGTGTTAATATCTACAGCCTAATTAAATACTAATACCAATCCTATATCTGTGATGTGACTATTTACTTTTTTCATGGCATGGGTACAAAATATTAACATGCATAAATTGGTTTCCAATATATATATATGCTGTCACATGGGGTTGAATTCATCTGCAGGGATTCAATAAGGCATTATCATCAATTTTTTATGTCAACCAGTTTCTGTGCCATGAGAACAAACCCTCCCTCCATAACCTTGCATAAAACAATCTTTAATCATATAACCTTTTAGCATTTGCTGTAAGTTTCCTCTTCCTTCAACCAGTGCAGACACAAAAGTTGCTCTTATATCCTGGCTAGTAGGAGAGACAATAGCTGGCATTGTCCCTGTATGAACTGGTTATCTGAAAAGAGAGTGCCTATGTTGGAATCCTTATTTCATTTGAATTTGGGGCCCCTAGACACTACTCACTTCACAGTGGAAATATATTTTGAGGCATTTTAAGCATATTTCTATGTGTTGAGATTGATAATTCAGAATCATCTATGATATTTTTTCAATTTGTTTGTTTTTAATGTTGATCCTCCTCTATTATTATTTGACAAATGAGACAATAATGCTTAGAAAAGGTAGTTGTTGGATTTATGCCACAGTCCATAGCCCTGATTTTCTTTGTTGTTGTTTTGTTGTGTTTTGTTTAACTTTGAACTTCAGAGGTACATGTGCGGTTTGTTACATAGGTGAACTTGTGTCATGGGGGTCTGTTGTATGCATTATTTCATCACCATAGTATCCATTAGTTATTTTTCCTGATCCTCTCCCTGCTCCCACCCTCCACCCTCTGATAGTCTCCAGTGTGTGTTGTTCCCCTCTATGTGTCCATATGTTCTCATCATTTAGCTCCCACTTATAACTGAGAACATGTGGTATTTGGGTTTCTGTTCCTGTGATAGTTTGCTGAGGATAATGGCCTCCAGCTCCATCCATGATCCTGTAAAGGATATGATCTCATTCATTTTTAAAATGCACATGTACGTTCATCTCAGTACTGTTTACGATAGCAAAGACACAGACTCAACCTAAATGACCATCAGTGATAGACTGGACAAAGCCCTGATTTTCTAGTCTGTTACTCGGTCTTGAAATCTGAAAGCTGATGGTACAGGCTAAACTAAATCATGCCCCCTACTTCTAACTATGTACAACTAGGGTATAGTCCCACCTTATAATTGATTGGAAAGGAGTACATTAAAGGATAATGAAGAATGATGTAGCCCATCTCTGTTATATATTGGCCTCCACTGAAAGTGTTAATTGGTGAAGAGAAAGTAAAATTTTATTTGGGTTATGAAAACTTCTGATATCATTGAAATATTTGTCTGTGGTCTACGGGTATTTTAGAAAAGTAATACAAGTTAAAATTCATGAATAGATTAATATGGTAACTCACAATTTTCTAACACCAGTATCTGTACCCCAGAGAGAAGTTCATTTTTGGATCTAATGCTTTTGGTACACTCAATTGTTTCACCCTAATCCGTTTCTGACTGAATTATAATGACATTATCCCTTAAACCACGTGCTACCCACCTCCCTCCACCATGCAACTTGCCTCACTGCTTTGGTGGTTTTCCTAAGTAGAGTGTTTTTATACAATGTTTCTCTCTCTCTCTCTCTCTCTCTCTCTCTCTGTCTCTCTCTCTCACACACACACACACACACACACGCACACGCACCCCTCCTGAGTCATCTTGCATAAATTTCTTTTCTTTACTTCACAGCACAGCATAGAAATTGATTGTGCTTTTTTTCTCACTTATCATGCATTTAATTTTACATTCTTCCTTGTTCTCTTGTCCCTACAACTCTTAGTACTTTTATTAATCGTCATTCAGTGTATCAGTTGTAAAATGGTTTACCACCTGTATTAGTTTCCTGAGGCTGATGTAACAAATGTCTACAAATGGGTGACTTAAAACAACAGAAATTTAATCTCTGCCTGTTCTGAAGCCAGTGGTTTGAAGTCAGTGTGTCAGCAGGGCCCTGATTCCCCAAGAGGCTCTAGTGGGGATTCCAACTTTTGACTCCTCCAGCTTCTGGTCACTGATAGCTTCATCACTCCAGTCTCTGCTTCCATGACCTGATTGCCTTTGCCTCTTCTGCCAGTCAAATCTTTCCTGGATGTCTTTTATAAAGACACTTATTCTTGGATTTAGGGCCCACCATGGTAATCCAGGATGACCTTATTAACATCCTTAATTTAATTACATTTGAATAGATGCTTTTTTCCTAATAAAGTAACTTTCACTAATTCCAGGGTTTTGATACAGAAAATTTTTAGGAGACCATATTTCTGCCTACCACTCTAACATAATTATTATTAACCATAAGAGTTTTCCCTCCACTCATATGAATAAAAATAGTAAATTCAAACTGTTTTCACCTGAAAAATAGAGCATACTAAACTTCCAATATTTTCATGGAGAGGTCGCTCTACACCTCCGAAGTAGAGACTCAAAACCAGGATCAGTGCCTGGGGAATAGGCTATCAGTGAAGCCTGCTAAATATGTAAGTGTACATTGTTTTAAATAAATTAGAAATTATATAACAAAATTCAACTACTGCTCTGAAATCAGAAATAATTTTTGACTTGGTATATCTGAATCCTTAGTGATATGTAATGCCCAGTTAAGGAGAAACAAAGACAAAATGTACACACATGCCAGAGCTGTCTCCAATAAGTGAAGAAAGTCAGATGTACTTGGGAGTCTCAAATATGTCCTCAAATAAAGGGGCATATGTATTGTGTGGATATTATAGATTCATATGTTGCTAACAAATAACACATCTCCTGATGCTGTTTCAATTTTTATATATGTGTGTGTGCACATGTATATATACATTTATATATATGTGTGTATGTATACACATGTGTGTACACACACACCAAGTTTAATCACTCTTAGAAGCAATATGCTATTAATTAAGACCAATAATTTTGAGATCTACTCTTGGCTTTGGTTATTGTAATATTTCATCCTAGTGTATAGGTCTCAGCTCTGAATTATAATAAGCAACAATATTGGAAGTAAAATCAGCCTTTGGTGCTGGAAAAAATGTGCATTACTATATTTCTTCATATAAATGAGGGAAAACACTTGAGATCAATAATGATTATGTTGGAGTGATAGGCAGAAATATTGTCCCCTAAAGGATATCTACATCAAAGCCCTGGAACTAGTGAAAGTTACCTTATTAGGAAAAAAGCATCTATTCAAATGTAATTAAATTAAGGATGTTGATGGGATCCTCCTGGATCGTGATCGTGGGCTCTAAATCCAAGAATAAGTATTGTCTTTCTATAGGTGTGTGTGTATATGCATGTGATATGTATGTACATGCCCCAATTAGACTTTATTCAGTGTAATTATTGCATTCTTTTTTATTTAGCATCATTCTGTATGCAGTATTAATAATAGTGACTGGTACTTTTCCTGGTCACTAGATCAATAGAACCCCACAATTCTAGAATGCTACCAAATTGTGTTTTGCTGGAGGACATATATTTCAGTGTATGAGTGGCATGAGAGTCATCTGAGTTAAAAAAAATAAATAAAACTAATTTAGTTAAATATAGGGGTAATAGGTAAGTGGCTACTATATTCTGAGTCATTTCATTTTCACATATTTCAGAAGCATAAGGAGATGTTCAGATGACAGTTTGCTGTGTGAATAAATAATAATTCTATCTTTGTCCATCTCCTGCTTTTACAAAGATCTGCTGACAAAATTTGAGAATATGTGTGAATGCCTCAGAAGTGTTATTTTGGCTTTTTACCCAACATTGTCAATGAAATAATAAATGGCAGTGAGAATAGCATGTTGGTATTCAAATTATTCATCAACTTGCTCCTTTAATATATAAAGTTATTAGCTTCAAGCAATTAATTTTCTTGTATTTTTGGAATAATGGACATGTTAATTTTAATGACCAATTAAGGAAATGATCTTCTTGAGGTCACTGAAGAGATAATCTCATCTGGCATCATATTAATTCTTATTTGATAAAGATTATTCTCTTCCTTCTGAAAATGACCAATTAAATCAAGGAAATGGTGTCCAACAGAATGTTTCTTTTAAGGAATAACAATGAGGCAAAAAGTGGACTTGAGTATTCAGTTTAAATTTTAAGTATTTTTTATTCCATTGACTCCCTAAAATCAGGGGCTCTCTATGTTTAAGGACAACTTGCTTCAGACATCATCATTCTGGTATAGACTTTTTTTTTCTGAAGAAATTAATCTAACGCCACTTGAATAATCATCTTTACTTATGAACCATAGTGTTAACAGTATCTTGATCATGATCATCTTGGTACTCACCCTCTGTAAGGCTAAACTGATTGACATTGTTATGGTTATATAATATTTGAGCTATAACATCTGCTACAATTTCTAAGTAAGTTAAAACTTGAGCTCTAGCCTGGTGGCTCATGTCTATAATCCCAGCACTTTGGAAGGCCAAAGCGGATATGGATCGCTTGAGCCCAGGAGTTCGAGACCATTCTGGGCAACCTGATGGAATCCTGTCTCTACAAAATATACCAAAAAAAAAAAAAAATTAGCTGGGCATAGTGGCACATGCCGTAGTCCCAGCTACTCAGAAGGCTGAGGTGGAAGGATCACCTGAGCCCCAGGATTTCAAAGCTGCAGTGAGCTGAGATCATGCCACTGCACTCCAGCCTGGCCAACAGAATAAGATGCCATGGGCCAAGGGGAGGCGAGGGAGAACTTGAGAAAAACTATAATATCTGTTTGAGAAGACTTAACATTGAAAGCAACTATCCGAGTAAATCATGGCAGCTTTATAAAACGATATTCATATATGTAAACATGTGCCTCTATGAACTACCAATCACTGTGAGAAGCTATTGGAATCTCTTCAGCTCTAACAAGGCTTGAATTGAGTTGGGCTTCACTGTTCTCCTTGGTTTCATGGAGGCATTTTGCACAGCATTACATTTTCTCAGTATTTAGAACCATACAAGACTTTGCTACTATTATTTCAAAAAGACCATTTCTACTCTTGCTTTTAGAACTGCCTCTATTTCTATCATTAAAATCTGTGCATTTTGAGGCTATACAGCTTGGTTTCCTTCCGATTCCTTTCTTGTACTTTATGCTAATTTGGCTAAAGTTCAGTGAAAAAGAATTTAGAGTCTTACAGATTGTGTAAAGCTGGTTGCTTAATTTGCTCTGAGACTTGGACCTGTTATTTCATTGAGCCTTAGTTTTCTGATCTCTGGGCTGTATCTAATAATATCTACTGTGTAGTTTCACCATTATTTTCATGATAAAAGATAATCCTGATAATAATCCAATAACCTGGAATTTATCACGCTATTATTATGACACATTAAAATAGGACAACCTATTTTAATAGGGAAAGAACTATTTGGTTTTATTTTTTATTCTGTGAAACATCAATATTTTATTTTATCTTCTGGGGATATTTGAAGATTAATCTCCTCTCTGCTCTTGTTTTTATGGGCTCTCTTGTTTAATCCTGAAAATGAAAAAGAGAAGTAACATTTAAGAAAAATGAGGCTTGGGGTATTCATTGTGCATTTAAGAAAGAGTGAACTATGAAGGAATAACAAAATTTTGTGAGAGAAATTGTAGGAAGGAACAGAGAAAAAAAGAGCAAACAAAGTACATTTGGGAGGCTGGAAACCGATTTCATGTCAGTTAGGTGCTCTGACCTAGACAAGAATCACTATGAGAAACCTCATTTGAAAGTCCTAGAGGCCCAGGGAAATTTAGCATCCCAGACCACTCAGCTTCATTTGAGCATGAACCTGTCATCCCTGTACCATGCCTTGCTCAGTGGTTACTCAATTGGATGTATGGGAAGACTTCCCTACCTCTGCTCCTGTTCACTTAACAGCAGGAGTAACAGACACCTTTGTAAAAAGGGTGTTTCTGTGTCTCTGTCTGTGTGGACAATTCTCCTCAGATGTCTATAAGTAAACTAGAAACCCAGTAAAGAAGTAATAGGGGAAGTCTTGCACTGCATTTGTACTTGAAAAATAGTCTAAACAAGCTTAAAATCCCCAAAATGGAAAGAAAGTGATTAGTGACACTTCAAGGACATTTGTCCTTAGAAATGACCCTGCATTAGAAATAACTCAGCATTTCCACATACAGATATATATTCTCTTGTAATTTATTAGAATTTCTCCTTTAACATCCCTCTCTCTTTCTCTCTTGTTTGCATGGATACAGATTCAGTGACATAATTCCTATCCGTTAGGATACTCCCTTCTGGTTACAGAGCAAAGATTACTGGTCTCCTCCTTTTGATATTTTCGACTTTGTTGACATTTGAAATTTGTTGGAAATTAATCACTAGGCAGTCATAACTTATAGAGAGAACTAAGTATACAGCAGGATACATCATAGATAATCAATAAGAATGTGCCTGCACCCTTGTGACCAATTCTGACCTCATCTTGATTTTAAAATTTTGGGTTCTTAATGATGCAATAATTTCCAATTAGCATACCAGGCTAAGTTCAACCTCAGGGTAAAGACATAAAACTCATACTTCTATTTTTTTTTAAGCCTGTGATCATTAAATAAAAGCATTTTAAAATTTTTCTGCTTACTCCTTGTGAGTGACAGGAATGTCATACTAAATCACTTCCCTAACTCTGTAAAACGCAAAACACATCATGCTTTGGTCTTTCTCCGGTAGGCTTCCTGCAACAATAAGATACCTACAATCTCCCCATACCTGTGTTGTTAGCATTAAGCCTGCTGTAACTGAAAAGATCCTGGGAAATGAATTCATTCTTATGCGAGATGTGGCAACATCTATTACATTTTTTAATTGTCCTTTTATGTAGCACTCATGCTGTCAGATTCAGGCCACATGCTGCTATGTGTTTCTATATTGATTTTTTTTTTATAAACAAGCTGCTAACACAGTTGTCCTTCTTAGGAAAAAATAAAGGCTTAGCTAAGAGAAAGTATTTTTGTGTTGGAGGCCTCAACATCTGTATTTAAATACAGACTAAACTTCTTTTTCAAACTGAAATTGATGTTGACAGCTTATTTTTTCACCTACTGATAATGGGTAAAGTGCCTGTCTTGTGGCACTAATTTTAGAGATCTAAGTTTATTTGAAATTAGTCAAACCAAAGACCATAAACGTTAATGAGAGAAAACACTGTTTGGCCTTAAAAGTTGGATACAGTTTGCACTGTTGACAGAAGCCACAATCTAGGGTACCTCTGGGAGAGCTGACACATTGGGAAGTAGAAAATCCAAATATAAATAAAAAGCAGTAAAACATTGTGTTTGTAGTTGTTTGTTATTTGGAGATTTTTGTCCAAGATAAAAATATGTTCTTCTTGAAATGTTACCTCATTTAAAAAAAACCCATTTTGACTCCTTTTTTCCTTTGAAATTTTCTAAAATTTTTGACCTCTAAAAGTAGTGAGTAAATAGGAAAGTATCACAGTTTTTTTAAATATAAGAAAAAAGCTCTATCAGCTTCTCCAATGTATATCACCTATATCCTAGCCTAATAGAAAGAGAGAGATTTTACGATTTCTTAGAGCCATTCATATTTGATTCTAGTTCATTTCAGTTCATTTGATTTCTAATTTAAAAAAATGAAATTTGTGCCTAAAAATGTGCTGGCTGAATGGGAGCCAAGTGCACTATTTGGTTTAATATAATTTTATTTCAACCAACATTTATTGTTGTCTACAGGGAGATAGTATGGTCTTTTATATAGCTTAAAAACCCATTGAGGAATAAAGACATCATGAATTTCAAAAATATTTAGTGTTGTCAAGTGCCAGAATGTATGAAAAAGCTATAGGGAATCACAATAAGAATATCAGACTTTAGGTTTGGAGACATTTTTTGTAGTATTTGAGAAACTGACTGTATTTTTAAAACAAATATGATTTAATAGTGTGTCCAGAGTAGGTTTCCTTTCAGTAGGTTCGTGGTCTCACTGACTTCAGGAATGAAGCCGCGGACCTTTGCGGTGAGTGTTACAGCTCTTAAAGATAGTACAGAGCCAAAGAGTGGGCGGTAGCAAGGTTTACTGTGAAGAACAAAATAACAATGCTTCCACAACCTCGAAGGGGACCCCAGTCCGTTGCAGCTGCTGGCTGGGGGGGACAGCTTTTACTCCCTTGTTTGTTCCATCCCATGTTCCGTTTTGGTCCTATTAGAGGGCCCCTTTCTCAATCCTCCCTGTGATTGGCTACTTTTAGGATCCTGCCGATTGGTGTGTTTTACAGAATGCTGATTGGTGCATTTTACAGAGTGCTGATTGGTGGGTTTTACAGAGCACTGATTGGTGCATTTTACAATCCTCTTGCTAGCTACAGAGCGCTGATTGGTGCATTTTTACAGAGTGCTGATTGGTGCGTTTTTACAGAGCACTGATTTGTGCATTTTACAATCCTCTTTTAAGACAGAAAAGTTCTCCAAGTCCCCACTCGATCCAGGAAGTCCAGCTGGCTTAACCTCTCAATAGTATAGAGGAAAAGAGAGAGTATTCCAACAAGAGTGTCAATAGGTATAAATAAAGGGTCAACTAAGCAAACTATATTAGGAGAACAAGAAAATATATTATCCAGATGTGCATAGTGGACAGAAGATTGAACAATAAATTGGAGAGGAATGTGAATACAAAAGTGGCTGCTTTCAATCAACTTTTTCTTATAATTATTGCTCCAAACCGCATTCTGCCTGCTCAAACTTAATTTTATTTTATCAAATAAATTTAAATTTTAATCTAAAATTGTACATTTATACATGCACACATACATAGGTACACATATATATACACACACATAGTTAAACAGCACTAAATATTGTATAAGGAGAGGCAACAGAGAGACGGGTTGCCTCTTCGCTCCCTGTTACACTAGTCTGCTCATTCTAGAGAGATAGTCACTTTCAATAACCTTAACTGCCTATTTTGATATTTACATACATGTTTCCAATTAATATGTATGCATTATTTTTACATAGCGAGCTTCAAATCTCCTATGGTCTTTCTATTCTCCATCACAAATTTTGACTGTATGTATGTCATTGCTAATCCAAGTAATATACCATGATTATCTTTCTTCTCATTGCTTTTCCTGGAGTTACTATTTCCTCATTAAAAGAAATACAATTCTGAATTTTCTTCCCATTCACTCCAACAGTCTTTGAAAGTAAATTTCCCTGTAAACCTATCAGTTAACCATTTGTCACCCAGAGACCTCCTCTCCTGGATTGTTCAATTGGATTGATTGCTTTTAGTCCTATTTAACTGCTTTTGATCTTGGACTTCTCATTACCTTTCCACTGTGTAGGATCTTCTTATCTAAATCCTATGTGTATCAGTCGGGGTATGCTAACTGCTGAAATAAACTACTCAATTATTTTAGTGGCTTTAAATAATAAAAGAGTATTTCATACCCACTTCTTATCTAACTTAGGTCAGAGTGAGGACTCAGCTCCAAAAGCTGAGACTGACTCTTTGCACTGTGGGGATCTGCTGACATCTAGATTCCTGCAGAAAAGTTTCTACATGTGCCTGGCAGCCAAATAAAGAGAAAGAGTATGGAGAAAACTAAGACATCATTGAGGAGCAGATCTGGAATTAACATACCCCACTTTTGCCAACATCCACTGAACCTCAGAATTTGGACATGCTGCTTCAATGCTTTAGCAGCTAGTATTGTCCTTAAGAGCATGATGCTTTTTGAATAGTTAATTCTTTCTGTAGGTTGTGTGTGTGTGTGTGTGTGTGTATAAATTCTTTGAAGGGTTTGAAGGGCCGGGCGCAGTGGCTCTCGCCGGTAATCTCAGCACTTTGGGTGGCCAAGGCAGGTAGATCATGAGGTAAAGAGTTCGAGACCAGCCTGGCCAAGATGGTGAAACCCCGTCTCTACTAAAAATACAAAAATTAGCTGGGCGTGTTGATGGGCTCCTGTAATCCCAGCTACTTGGGAGGCTGAGGCCAGAGAATTACTTGAACCTTAGAGGCAGAGGTTGCAGTGAGCCGAGATCGCGCCACTGCACTCCAGCCTGGGTGACAGAGTGAAACTCCGTCTCAACAAAATAAATAAATAAAATAAATAAATCCTTTGAAGTCCATACCTCCTTTTTAAAATGTTTGGTGTTATGGATTATACAATGATGGGCTTTAGTGTGGATTTCTGTTATTCATTTTAATACTTAAGAGTCCCTTTCTATTTAGAGGTTCAATTGTTAAGTTCAGGGAAATACTGAAGAATGTATTTGAAAAGTCCTTCCTACTTCACTTTTCTGTCTTGTATTTCAGGAACTTCTTTTAAAAATGGATTAATCCCATAATTTTCTGTGCTTTGTCTACTATTGTTCATATTTCCCTTTGTGTTCATCTACCTAGAAGATTTTCTTGGCTCTTACAAGTATTCTGAGAATATCTTACTTTGACTATATTGTTCTACATTTGATTTTGATTTTCTTTTTGATAGTTAAATAATTTTAATCAAGTATTGCATTTTCCCTAACAGAAGTCAAAACTCCTCAGTAAGTTATATGATATACACAGATAAATCTTGCCTCCATTTCTGCTTTCTCTGCCCTGTTCTTTCTCTCTTCCATATGTAGTAATTATTACCAATTCCATTGTTACTTCTTGGAAATAAAAGCATATGTGTATGTCGCTGTGGGGGCATATAAAGAAAAAGATTGTTATCATCCCAAATCCCACCTAAAATTCTAAAGTTAGTTTTTTGGATACACTGTTTTATATCTTGATTTTTCTCTTTATTATAAGCTGTAGATATGCCTAAATTAATATAGGAAGACAATTTTTTATTCTTTACTATGGATGTACAGTAGCAGTATACATCAGGGTTTCTCAAACTCAGCACTATTGCTCCAGTCATTCTTTGGTATTTACAAGAAGAGAGAGGCAATATTTGTTCCAGGACCCCCTACAGATTCCAAAATCCCTGAATACTCAAGTCCTTTTTATAAAATGGCACAGTGTTTGAATATAACCTACACAAATCCTTCCACATATTTTCAATCACCTCTAGATTGCTGGTAATAACTAATACAATTAAATGCTATATACATAGTTGTTATATGACATTTTTATTGATATTATTTTTATTGCTGTATTGTTTTTATTTTTAAATATTTCAATTTGTAGTTGGTTGAATCTGAGGATGTGAATCCTGCTGATATGAAGGGCTGATTATATTTTGTACCAAATATTATTTCTTGTGAGGAGTTTGCAGATACATTGCGGAAAATTCACCAGCCTGTACTGACTAGAGGCCAGTAGGATCCTTGCCTTCAGTTGTGACAATCAAAAATCTATCCAAACATTGCCAATTATATTGTAAGGAGCAAAATCGTCTCACATTGAGATCCATTGGTATAGATATGGCACTGTTTTGTTATTTATTTATTTATTTATTTTTGAGAAAGGGTTTGATTCCCATCACTTAGGATGGAGTGAAGGCGATCTCGGCTCACTGCAGCCTCAACTTCCTGGGCCCAGGTGATTCTCCTACCTCAGCCTCTTGAGTAGCTAGGACTACAGGCCCGCACCACCATATCCAGCTGATCTGTGTGTGTGTGTGTGTGTGTGTGTGTGTGTGTGTGTGTTTTGTAGAGACAGAGTTTCTCCATGTTGCTCAGGCTGGTGTGAAACTCCTGGGCTCAAGTGATCCACCCACCTTGGCCTCCCAAAGTGCTGGGATTACAGGTGTGAGCCACGGTGTCCAGCCAAGTTTTGTTATTGTTGTTGCTGGGTTTTTTTCTACAGTTCTCCTATTATTGGACATTTGTGTTGTTTCCTAACTCATTTTTCAGTACAAATAATACCATTATAAATAATCTGGAAATATGTGATTTTATACCTGAAGAGGTAAAATAGATGCTTTTGAGTTGTTAGCCAGCTAAGTATTTTTGTTGTTCAAAGTTCTAATGTAAATATTCTTATCTGTACTGGGAGCCAGTTGGTGCATCTTGAATTCCCATTAACATTTCCAATGCATATTTAAATTGTTAAGTTTTTATTTAAAAGTGCTTTTCATTATATACCTTTTCTCTGAAGCTGAAATTCTTGTTCTCTTCCACTTTAACAAATTTAAGTAATTTTATGAACTTCTTTAATCATAGATATACCTAAGTGCAGATATACCATAGTTTGGTTATTGTTGTTCTTTCTGTTGTTGTTTTCAACAGTTCTCCTATTATTGGACAATTGGGGTTGTTTCATATATGTATATATGTTTCATATGTACATATATGAAACAACCCAATTGTACATATATACACATGTGTGTATATGTAATATATATTCAAGAATATATATATAATTCTTATGTATATACAAGCATGCTGTATGTCATATATGTGTGTTTGTGTTTGTTTCAGAATACAAAATTACTTATAATGATATGAATATTAAATCACTTTAAGACTTCTAGTTTATTTTATTTTAGGATATATCCTACAAGATATCTTGTGTAAAATTACCATTTTGAAAGTTAACTGAATTGAAATCTCAATTTACTCTTCCATTTAATCTTTTTAATTTTAAGGGTTTTTAAAAATATTTAAATATTTTGTGGAAAACATTAAAACATAAAAAGCGTTAAATTTTTAAAAACATTAAAATCAAAATATGGTTCCAAAGTCAAATATACAAATAAGGTATATTTAAAGATTTTAGATCCTGTGTTCATTCTGTTTTCTCATTCTCTTTGCCAGTCAATTTTGCTTGTTAGCTTTGTTTTACTTTTCTATTTAAAAAAATTAAATATGTATGTACTTATATTCCTTAAGCAACATGATATATTATTCACACTTATTTTTTCCTTGCTTTTTTTCACTAAATATATGCTAAAAATTGCTCATAGCAGTATGTTAAAGTAGTCTCCTTTTTTTTTTCTTTTGGAGACAGGGTGTCCCTCTGTCACCTAGACTGAAGTTTAGTGGTTCTATCATATCTCACTGCAACCTTGAACTCTGGGCTCAAGTGATCCTCCTGCTTCAGCCTGTGGAATAACTGAGACTACCGGTACATGCCACCACATCTGGCTAATTTAAAAAATATAAAGTTATTGTGAAGACTGGGTCTCACTATGTTGACCAGACTGATCTCAAACTCCTGTCCTCAAGCAAGGCTTTGGCCTTGGCTTCCCAAAGTGCTGGGTTTACAGGCATGAGTGACTGCTCCCAGCTGTCTTCTTGTTTTTGACCAGTGTTTAGCACTCTATCGTGTGGTTCTATCACAACTCATTTAAACAGTTTAAAAGGGAGTAAAGATGAAAACATGTGTTCAATCTGCCATTTGTATCTGAAGGTGTCACATCGGTTTAGGTTTACGTTGCAGCTCTTTAGTAGCTCTCAGGTGTATCAAATATGTTTGAAAATATAGTTTCATTTCTAAATATAATCATTTTAAACAGTAACAAAACAATTAAAAATGACAATAAACAATCTGAATTAAATGGTGGAAAAATGAATTGTTAATTCAGAGACTGTTCTCATCTAGGAGGGTAAGAATAGAGACAGTGTGTCAATATGATGATAGTTAAATTATGCCTTGACTACTGTGCAAAAAGAGCAGAGGCTTTTCCCTAAGGATGGGGAATAATGAGAAGAATTACATATATTTACTAATGTGCTTACAATGTTTAAAGAAAAAGTTGATTAAATTGGCTAACTACTAATATAAATAGTTTTTATATTAATAAATTAATATAAAATTCAATTTTATATTAATAAATATAAATTCATTAATAAAATTCAATTATGAATCAAATTGGCTAGTTAGAACTTTAGATGATATCTTCCAACATTGTCTTATAATTGTGTGAATATGTTTAACATGTATGGTAGTCAAGTTGGTATTTGTATTAGGTTTCTCTAGAGGGACACAACTAAGGGAAGAGAGATATATATATAAAGGAAAGTTTATTAAGTATTGACTCACACAATCACAAGGTCCCACAATAGGCCTTCTGCAGGCTGAAGGGCAAGGAGAGCCAGTCTGAGTTCCAAAACTGAAGAACTAGGAGTCTGATGTTTGAGGGCAGGAAGTATCCAGTACGGGAGAAAGATGTAGGCTGGGAGGCTAGGCCAGTCTCTCTTTTGACATTTTTCTGCCTCCTTATATCCTAGCCACACTGGCAGCTGATTAGATTGTGCCCACTCAGATTAAGGGTGGGTCAGCATTTCCCAGCCCACTGACTCAAATGTTAATCTCCTTTGGCAACACCCTCACAGACACACCCAGGATCAATACTTTGTATCCTTCTATCCAATCAACTTGACACACAGTATTAACCATCAAAAGCTTTAGACCACTTATGGCCATTCTTCATTCAGTGTCACAGCATAAAGATATACAGATCTCACACTAAAATTTTTGCTAAATAATGTAGATTGCTGGCTCAAGTTTTACTTGTAGTGACAATAATAAAATAAGGCTGCTACTCTTTTTTCCTCTCTCTTTTCAAAGTTTAACATCACTTGGCAGTTGTTTGTATAAAAACGGTTCATTGTGCACTGATTACCAACTTGTCTGAGTCCAGTGAGACAGAAGACCAACATACACAACTTACATGAAATGGATTTATTACTTACAGACAGGTAATAGAGACAACAGAAACTGGTTTCCAAAGGCTCAGGAAAGCTGCCTAGGGTAGATGGAGGCTGGTCTGCACTTGCTCCACTTGAACCACAGCTGAGGAAACCTAGAAAGTAACCTGTCCTAGGTTTTATACCCCAGCAGTCACATAAAGTGCTGAGCTGAAGCATTGAAGAACATCCTGTTTCTAGGGGGGACTGGAACACTGCTCAGGCCGTTCTGGTCAATCCCTCCTTATCTCAGGATTTTGCATTCCCAGCAAGTTCTACAGTTATTCCCAAGAACTACAAGCAGAAAATAGGGAGGAACTGGGTTGATCCAAGGCCACATGGAAAATTGGCCTGTAGTATAAAATACTGTTCTCTCTCCTTAAGTAAATTCTTCATTTTAAGGTTAGGCAGCTTCTAGCTGCATAGTTATTTTTCTGTACTTTTTCAAAAACCTCAGTTTCTGAACCTCTCTGCTTCTGTGGGATCTTGCAAAGCACTGAATTGTCCAATTTTAAATATGTTTTGTATCTGTTTGTTTTTATGTGTTTCTGTTGTTGCAAGAAACATCATTGGAACACAAGTGGGTAATTGTTGTATTAGATTTCAATGAAGAAAATATGTTAATATATAAAGACTTTTATTTGCTGAAAAGGCAGATGAAAAATTTGCAATCAATGTTAACTCGACATAAGGTAGACAACTGCATAATATTCTTAATATACAGTTCACTGATAAATCAATATATCATGACTCAATAAGAAAATTGAACATAATATGAACAATTGATAATGAAAAATACCCAAATGTCTCATAAGCATATGTAAAACAAAAACATTCAACTTCATGAGTTACTAAAGAGATGAAAATTAAATGTGAGGCCCTATTTTTTACCAAAATATTAAAGTGATTAAAATGACAATAATACCCTCAGTGAGGGTTAAAGGAAGTGGAATTTTCTCTAATATATTGCTAATGGGATTGTATATTAGCAATATAATTCTGGATTGAGATTTGGAAGAATATTTCAAGAGTCTTAAATTTTGTGCTCATCTTCAGCAAATGATGCTCCAGTCAGTAAACATCTTAAGGAAATAATAATGAATGCCTAAAGAATATTTGTAAAAGAAAGTGCATTATGCTTAACAATTAACAGGGTCCCCATAAGCCCACCTTCTTGTAACGCCCTGTGTGTATCCCTTCCACTTAAGGGTGGCTGGACACAGCGACTTGCTTCTAATAATGGGATGCAATGAAAGTGATGGTTTGTTTTGACTTCTGAAATTAGGCTTTGAAAAATTGTGGCTTCCATGTTGCTCACACATTTTCTCTGGATCTTCTCACTATTTGGCTCAGATGAAGCAAGTTGCCATGCTCTGCGTTTCTGAATAAGGAGACCCATGTGTCAAGGAACTGAAGGTAGCTGCATTCTTCCAAACATTCTTCCCAATCTCAATCCAGAATTATATTGCTAATATACAATCCCATCAACAATACATGAGAGAAAAGCTTCAATCAGGGTATTCTTATCATTTTAATCACTTTAATATTTTGGTAAAAAATAGGGTCTCATGTTTAATTTTCATCTCTTTGGTAGCTACCAGCCAACAGACAGTGAAGAACTGAAGCCCTCAATCCAGCAACCCACAAAGAATCACTAAGATGGCTTAGAATTGAGCCATGCTCCAACTGAACCTTGAGATGACTCTGGCCCTGGCTGACACCATAGTCTTAGCCTTGTGTGGCTCCTTGGTCTAGAGAACCCAGGTTATCATACCCACATAAACCATAAGACAATAAATACAGGTTCTCTTAAGCTGCTAAATTCTGAGGTAATTTTATATGTAGGCATAGAAAATTAATAAATATGCAAAATGAACTTGTCATAGAGATGAGTGAGAAAAATGTGCTCCAAGTAATAACAAGGCAATTTATCATCCCAGTTTAGGTATAAAAACAACCACTCACACACACAAACACACAAACACATGCACTAAAAATGTCTGGGAGAACATCAATAAAATGATAACTTACTATTTTTGAACTATAAGATAATACCTGATTTTAAAATTATTTTCCTGGATATTTGTATATTTTTCAACTTTATAATAATAAATTTATTTTAATCCTGATATCTAAGTGAAAAGAGGAAAAAGAAAACACAGAGGGGTAGTAGAACAAAACACTTCTAGAGTCCAGCTCTCAACACTGCATGTACTTGGAAATCAGTAATTCTGGGTGAAATTTATCATGAATTTAACAGATATTTCCAGAAATTTCTCCAGAACAAAGAAACTTAGGATATTTTCTTATGTACTGACGTCTGTATCTATGGTAGACACTGTTTTTTGTTTTACATTTTCACTTTAAGTTTCATCAACATGGAATAATGAACAAAAGGAGCAATTATGTCCAAATCCAGACAATGTAACAGAAAAAGTAGATAACTAAGAATATTTCACTTTGATTTACATAACTGTTGAGCACATTATCCCAAGAGAGAAATGATCAATGGAAGGGAGCTGGGGAAACAAGATAAAACTGTGTGACGAGGCCTATCAGAGTGAAAACGTCAACAGGGCACCCATGGAATAGTTGCTTGCCTGCTGCAGAAAGGTCACTTACCAAAGCAGATTAGTTTAATATGCCAAACCTATTTCATGTTTTAGTTACATTCAGCTTCTCTAAAGGTCTATATTATGAATCATTTGGTGCACTATAGACATGCTAGCTTGAGACTGAACAAGAGATAACATACCCTGGAGCTGACACTATCCATCTTTTTAATACGTCTAATAATGGAATAGTCAGACATACTAAATTATACCATTTTATGTATTTGTGAAACTGTAGACTGATTTGGCTGTGCAAGTCTTTCTCTCTTGTAAATTTTTTTTCAACCCTTATCCGTGGTGAATTTGAATGTGGTATCCCTGGAAGAAAAGCTGTGAAAGCAAAGGACATTTTTTTTGCATATGTTATTAAAATAGAAATAGCAAGAATTATTTCCTTTGATGTTTCTAAGCAAAAAGAATTGATGGAAAATTATTTATGGTAGATTTGATAATAAAAAGAGGTCACTACAGTTTAGTAATTTAATTTTTGGTCTTCAAAGTTAGCAGCCCTGAATTTGCTTTTTAGTTTTAACACTGGCTATTTAAGAAAATTTTGGATAGTGCATTTAAAACACTTCGTGCAGTATCTGGCACTGAATAACTACCCAACAGATGTTACAAATGTGTGCATCTGTTTATCTACGTGTATTCTCATTGTTGCAGTGAATTCTTTTAGCTTCATCATCAAATATTCATTTAACAACCACCGAGTTCCTAGCACCAGGTCATAAATTAAGATTACCTCTTTAGGCCTATTGCAGGGTACCTTACACCTACAATCCCAGCACTTTTGGAGGCTCAGCTGGGCGGATTACTTGAGGTCAGGATTTCAAGACCAGCCTGGCCAACATGGTGAAACCCTGTCTCTACTAAAAATACAAAAAATAATCTGGCATGGGACTGTAATCCCAGCTACTCGGGAGGCTGAGGAAGAAGAATCGCTTGAACTTGGGAGGCAGAGGTTGCAGTGAGCATATATCACACCACTGCACTCCAGCCTGGGTGACAGAGAGAGACTCCATCTGAAAAACATAATAATAATAATACCTCTTTATACTTAGTTGTGCCTACTTTTAAGTATATAGCTTAACGTTGTCTGTAAAGTTATTTTTTAGTTCTGATTCCAAAGGTTCTTTACATAGGATGTATTTCTGAGTTGATTTGTTGGTAGGGGGTTCTTGGCTTTCATTTTACATTCCAGCTATATTCTCAGGGCATCAATTAAAGTTAAATTGCCAAATTTCTTTCCTCTGGAAGAACACAAAGTATTTAAAAATATAGTTTCTATCATGTTTATGCTTCTCTGTGTTACCAAAGCGCACGTACTTAAATCATTGCCAACAGCAATTTCTGTGCCACCTCAGTTTTTCTTTTAGACCTTCTCATGAAAAGTATTAAATAAATTAGAGGGAAAATTACAAAGATACTTGTCATTCCTCCTTTTTTAAAAAAAAAACATGAAAGCTAGTATTTATTTTGGTACTGGGAAAATCCCTGAAATTCCATGTGGCTGCCACATACGCTGTATTTATGCCAGGACACAATGAAAATGCACCTCCTTTGAAGCATGTACTCATAGATGCTCTACCTGATTAGTCAGTGAGCAAAAGAGATAATTTTTTTGACAAGTACTACCACTTGTGAAGAGGCTTTGTAAGAACTTTATTCTTTTGATCTAAGCCATAAATAAAACAGAGATCTAAGTCTGATATTGTCTCACATATGTGTGAATAATGGCTGTTTTGCACTTCAATGCAAGACCTTTCGGTATTTTCATTAACAAACCCAGTCCAAAGCACTGCAATCTTGAGAGAGACAGAAAGAGAAGACCACCCTGTAGTGTATCTAATGCAAAAATTCTGGAACCAGAATATGGGAGGAATTTCTAGAAGCTGTAACTGCCTTCCTATATGTAGCAGACAGTTAGAGCTGAGCTGTGAGGTAAGAAGAGCACTGGATTAAGATGAAGAATCAGGTTTTCAGTCTAAGTGCCGCCATTAGCTTGCTTTATCAAGTTTGCTATCTGTTTAACTCTTATACCCTATTTTCCTCATCTGTAAAACAAATTAAAAAGAGGCCAGACAAGAATACCTAAGGTTCAACTGTGATCCTGTACTCTGATTTCTCTTGCCTCTGTGTTTTCTAAATCTATAATGCATGTCTCAGCTTTTGTTTTGGAAGAGAATATTGATTCGGTTCATAATTTATCATCCATTCTCATGAATTGGTCAAGGTTCTCTGGACTTCAGTTCTCCATAAGAGCCCTGGCTGTTGCTGAAAAGGCTTCACAGTTTTGCTCAGGTTTCTTAAAAAGTTTCTTTTTGGCATCCTTATAGGTTTTATTTTTCATCCTCTCTTGGCACCTCTCTGCAGTTACAGAAACTCTGCCTAGATGTTTTCCTGTACATCAGGTTGCCTCAACATGTTACTCAGGATATACTGAAGGTCAGCTTCCCAGATTCATTGCTCAAGTACACCATCCTAGCTGACAGGCCTGGGAGTCTTCATCAGCAGTGACTATACCTAAGCCACTTGATCATATTGAACTTGTTACCTCATTTTATAAATGACCACTTTTTCTTTCTTATGGAGGTATTGTGAGCACCAGATGAGACAACCTATCAAATTTCAAGTAGTAGACTGTTCTCCAAAATCCAGAAAAAAAAAATAGCTAACTCTATGAGATGACAGGGTGTCTGATAGTAATCATGGGCATTTTTTTTTTTTTGAAATGGCAATACCAAAATTCCTGCAAGTAGTCCCTAATATCTATTGATGGTGAGTGCAAGTGTCAGGCCTTGTTAGGAGCATCGCTTGGCTTGGATGCATAGGTCTCACTGAGGCTGCTAGGTGGGGTGACTTAATCACTCACAAGAAAATCAATGTGCTAGTCATTCTGACTTTGAAACCAGCAATCTGTCAACAAAGTACTATAATCAACTTATACACATTGCAAAGGCCGCAGAAACTTTTGTCAGGTATTTTTAGTGTGTAGAAATATGAAAAACCATCTTCTAGCAATTTTAAAATAAATAAAGCCATATTTCAACTTATGAATGACATAGTCAATTTCCAGATGTTTTAGCTCAGAGAATTTTTATAGGCTCTGAGTTGGCATAAATGTAGGCTCACGAGATTTAAAAAATACAAATTCTGAGAGATATTTTTTACCCTATTGAAGAATAATGTGCCTTCAAAGGAAGAAACAGACTAAAGAATCTTCATGATTTTAAAATTTATTCCTTCTCTTCCCATTGTACAACATTTCGCAAATTAAATAACTTGTCTTGATAAAGCCACAGTGTATTATAGTCAGTAAAATAAAAAATAGGAATTCTTAGAAGATGCAGTATGCGTTAAGAATGTCTCTGGTGTACATGTGTTAAAAATTTGTGCAAATGTGTGCATGCTTTAATGGGTTTTCTTTGCTTTATTTAGATAGTGCTTACATGAACCTGCAAAATCCTTAGAATGGAACAATGTTTTCTTTGCTGACCCATTCTGGGTTTGCTTAGAATTCTGACAGACTGATAATTCTAATGAATGTTTATCTCTCACTGGCTGAGCATGGAAAACTATACCAAAAATGCTTTCAGAAATCACATAATTAAAATGTTTTGTTTTTATGTCTGTTTATATATTTATTTTTCTATATCTCAACTAGAGATATAGATTTTATTTTTCTATATTTCAACTATATGTCTGGTATACTACAATACATATTGTGAAATAAATGGACAAAAAATAAATCAATAAATTTTTCTTTGAATAAGCAAACAAATAAACAATTGAATAATAAAACAAGTCTCACCTCTTATAGCTTGTGTATCTTGGATTTAATAATTTTCCCATGACACTTACCTTTAATTTGGGGTGATCTATTGGGATATCATGGACTTAAAAATCAGCAACCACACAAGTAAATCCAAGTTTCATCACATTGTATAATCTTGGATATATCTCAGTTCTACTTTTCCATTTTTTTATCTGTAAATGCAATAATTTTGATGTTTCCATGTTTCTCTGAGATAGATTGAAATATCAAATTATCATCACCTAGCTATGTACAGAGGCTAAATCTCAATAAATGCATATTTTTAATCATTTCGAGTGCCAAGACGTCTAAGAAAAGCAAAGACTTCCAAAGGAAGACAAGAAAAAGAACAGTTAATTTTATTTGGATTTTCTTTCAAGGTATACCAATTGAAAAGGGGCTGGATAGAATAACTTATAGTCCTACCCCAATAACAAAGCTCAAATCATACTTAACATCATCTAGGAATGACCCCGGGTCTCTTTTCGAATTTTTCATGGCTACTCCTCCATATGCTTGTATTGGAGTTGTTTCTTTTATTCACTAAACATAACTGTGCCAGAACATATTTTCTTCTTATATTTAATTTTTTTCTTCTCTTAAAAGTAGACACATCACTATTTAGTACTGAGACTTCAAATACTGAAGTAAACAGAGAAATGGTTAATAATAAAATAAACAAATATTAGAATATCATATACTTATACCATTATTATGGTGATGGACTCCTTTGTTTCTTTCTGTCCTTCTTCTAAGCTGACAAATGATGATGTAGACTGAAGCCATCATCTTTAATCTTAAGATAGGACCTTACCACTTTCCCTCACTAGCCGAGATCTCCTTTCTGACCCTTCTTTTAGTGATGACCTGTAGACTCTACCTTTCAAGACTGGATTTCTTTCCAGCTTAAAGATTCCAGCAGTACAGAGTGTCATTTCTGTCAGTTGAGTTGATTTCTTGCATATCTGAGGCCACCAGAATGGTGACCTATTTTATAAGCATACTCAGTTCAAAAGTGGACTTTTTGGCACTTCCTCTTGAATACTGTAATTTATTTTGTTGATAATTAATATTAACATCATTTATAGCTAGGAGGTATATTTGCATAAGGCAACTCACATAAAGTAAAAGGGAAATAATATGAATACTGACCACAATAATTGACATAAAAACTGCAAAATTACTTGTGTAAGTCCTTAAATTAATTGATTTTATAACCTAATATGGACAGAGAGGAAACTATTTGTCACTAAAATAATTAGCTATTGGAAAGAAAGAAATATATTCTGATTCTAGAAATCTTGATTATCACACTGAAGTAAATATAATATGCTTATAATTGTATCCTTGTTTTATTTCACATTTAATAAATTAAGTATGAAATATTTTTATAGTATTTCAAAATATGTTTTAGACTTCCTACTAACACTATACTAAAACTATATTTGTATATTTATATCATACAAAACAAGAGAAGTCAGTGGGCTTCCAAATCTTTCATCGCCGTATGCAATTCCCCTTTCCAGGCAATTTGCAGCTCTTAAGCCTCTTCTGTGAAGAAATTCTGAAACCATGACAGTTTCCATGGTATTTATATTTTAAAGCTGAAATAGAACTTACAGTGGTTGGTGTACAATAGCCATTCGTAATACCAGGTTTTAAGGGCCTTAGGGCTCTTTATATGGACCTTTCAACTTTTAGTTAGCATGGTGCTTCTGCAAATAATCTTTCTGCCCTGCACATGTCTTTTTCCAGTGAGTTAGTTTTGCATAATTGTAAATAATTTGAATCTCAGAAGCAGAGCTCCAGAGCTATAGTTTTACAGAGATTATTGGAAGAACATTTGGGCACAACAAACTCGGTAAATTCATGCTCACATGGTCTTGCCGTTTTTTTGTTCATCTTTTTTTTCAAATGTCATTATCTCTTTGCTAATTATAATTACTGTACTTTAAGCTCTTATCACTCTGAGTATTGTTATCTGTGTACCGTTTCTCACTATTGCTGTAACTCCCAAAGGCAATCTGCTAAAAAAAAAAAAATTCTCATTTGAACAGAAGCCATCAGAGCACAAAGCTGGAATAATATTGCGTAAGGTAATTAAAAACAAATAGATAATGCCTTCCAGTATTGCAGCAGAACTTTACATATTACCATAAGCTTTTCTGTATGAAATCATTAGAGAATAATAATAAAGGGCCGATTTTGAACTTGTGCAATGACATAGTGCCTAACACTCCCTGGATCATATATTAATTTTGCAATCAATTTGTTATTTATCTGAGGGTATTAATTTTTCTTTTTCTGTTCTCTTTGAGTAGGTTCAGCATCACAATCTTATTAAGGATAGAGAAATAACTTGAGATTCTGAGAAGAAAAATAAATAGTAAGTTCCAAGTCTCTTATTTTTCCCATACTTCTATACGTTATTCTTATACGCTTTATGCTATAAACACCTTGGGAAACTCCCTTTTTCCCATAAAATGATTTCTTATCTGGCTCAGAGACTTCGTGTGTGGTCAGATAAAAGGAATGAGCTAATTATTTGAAGTCAGAAGACACAACCTAGTACCAGACTGGAGAGTTCAAATGCAATGCACGCTTTCCTTTATCTTTCAAGTGAAGAGGCCAGGAAGATTTTTTTTGATGATATAAGCTCCCATTGGCAATCAGACATTCACTCCAACTTCACCTCCCTTCCTAGCCTCTTTCTTTTGCTGTAAGGATATTTTGCAATAGAGCTATAATAACTGAAAGCAAACTGGGCGTCATTAGACCAGAAAGGGTACCACAGTAAACACTTTGCCTTCTCAAAGATTCATTTCTAAAGAACCTCACCCCTATCAATTTCCGTCAGTAAGCTGCTACACATTTCATGTTATTCTCATAGAATTCCTCTTTTCTTTTAAAGGGCTGTGACTTGGTCACTGGAGGTGGTGTGGGAGAATGAGAGAGTGAAATACATAGGTCATTTATTTAATTATTCCAATTACTTCCCTCTAGATTCTTCCAGATGATTCAAATCTGTCCATGAAAATAAGGAGTGTCTCAAGGTCCTATCACATAAGTAAATCATGTATCAAAGTATAGTTTGTTTCCAAATATAGCTGACTCTAAAGGAAAAACAAATTGAAAAGAAAAATCTCTTGTTGGAATGTGAAAGAAGAAAAAATGTTGCAGACGTCCAGGAAATACCATCACTAACATAAAATAAGAATCTTTTTTCTCTCTGTAAAGAATCACAATTCTCTCATTGCCTTTAGCTCCATGTAATATTATTAGTCACTGTAGAAAGTTTTTATAAACTCTGTCTTAACAGATCTTGTCTGTCATTTCTATGTATCTGCCTGCCTCAATGTTTTCCCCCTTTCCTTCACATTCCAATAAACTCCTTTTCTTTTTTTTTTTTTACATTCCAATGTCTTTGAATAGAACCTTACTTTCAATTGAATCTTAAGCAGGGGTTTCTAGTTCTTCTGTCCTGGCATTTGGCCCACAAGGAATATTTCCCTGAGGGCTGGTGCTTTTGCTGAATGGGGGAGGGAACACTTCTTCTATAAGCCATTTTTTTCTCTCTACTGGGGCAATTTGCCCATTCCTTTAGTCTACAGAGAGAGAGTTTGGGTGGCTGCCACTTAGGGTTTCTCCCAAAGGGCCATTTTCCCAGAGGGAGCTGAGCCTGGGAAAGAAGCAAGAGCAGGATTCCCTTTAGTTCCAGAGTTGTGAGCTTTTTTCTTTACTTAGTTGTAGAAGAAACACTGCCAACTTGCCACCTTGTTCCTTTTTTCTATTCTTATTTTAAAACAATTCTAAATATAGTAGAAGATTCCATTTCTTGGCAAGAAATAGTGTAAAGGAACTTTTTCAATCACTTTAGGAAGAAGACAGTGTTGATGTGGTGATTGGTATTGTGGCTATAAAATAATGACCATTTCCTGTCCAAAAATGTTACTTGGCATAGGTTTCCAACTCTGGATAGCAAGAAGGGATTAAGGAAGCTAGACATCGGCAGTTCTCCACATTTCAGTGTGCCCATTATCAATTTTCTCTGCCTCTTCACTTTCTGTAACTCTAAATAACTTGAAAGTTCTATGTAGTACACACACACACACACACACACACACACACACACACACACACAAATAGATATACTTAACCAAAACAAACAAACAAACAAACAGAAAATACATATTTAAGGCAATATTCTCACAACCCTACTGTCAAATACCATTCCTTCCCAGTATGCTTTGTTCAGCCTTTGGAGTATTTTTTCCTGGATTTGTTCAATGCCTTTGAATGTATATACACAAATATATAGAATGATTTTAGATCTATTGATATCATTTTGTGAACATTGTGCTGACTTGATCTTTCTTTTTCTTTTTTTTTTTTTTGCCAAATCCTATATCTTGAGCATTAAAAAATACATTTTCCTCATTTTTTAAAGCATTTTGTCAATGAACATAATACATATAACACATTATCCATTCTCCTTGCTTTGTTTTCATTATTGCAATTTCTACTACCTTTCCCTATTAATTAGATAATTTTAATCATTTCCTATAGGATGCACAAGTTTCCCAGAGATTTTTATTAAATATTATTATTTGTTGTTAAACAAGCCCTAAAGACAGAGGATTCCACACAATTTCCTACTTGATTTTTTTAAAAAAGAGGGAACAATAACTTATGAATAATTTTTCTAACCAGACATTTCTATAGGCTATGTTAATAATCTGAAAAAGCTCAAGGGAAGTCCAAGTGACTTGAAGTAGAAATTAATCTGGCTTCTTCATGTGAAGGTGTTCTCCTTTTATAGAAGTTAAGATATTAAGAAATGTCAATCAACCTATTAAATGTATGTCTTTAATTTGTACTTTTTTGGGTTTAGCAATATTTTTCTCATAAAACATGCAAAGATTATGCATTCAATATATATTTATTAAGTTCCTAAATATGTTCAGGCATAGTACTAGATGTAGGGCATGCAAAATCATTAAATTCTATTCCTAGTTTCACAGTATAATGAGGAGACACATATATAAAATTACTTTTTAACGTTATGGATATGAAACTATAAAATATCCTAAGAAACACTGGTTCTGGAAAAGTTAGAATCCAAATCGGGAGATGCCATGGGCTTTATAGAGAATAGATAAATCTAGAGTGGTGGTTGATAATTGGCACAAAATCTGGGAGAAACCCTTGTGGAGACATAAGGTGCCAAGGTTTGTCATCATAGGAATTTTAGGGGTTGGAGGGATACGTTTAGATGACAGGAGTAGGAGATGTACAAGGTCCAGTCGAGGGCATAAGTAAAAGGAAGAACTTTTTAATTGAAAAAAAAAATTTCCTTATTGATCTTGGAGAGACTGTTACCAAACTTTTTTCCAATGGAGCAAAATAGAAGCAGTACTAATCTATGGTGACCTCAGGACAGAGGAACATTCGGATAGCCCTGGAATCTGGATCATTTCTGGGTGGACAGCAATTGCAACAACAGCAACAACTTCAGCCCTAGTTCTTGGTTTGTGAACTACTCTCATCCCACAGGTTGAGCAAACGCAAATACACACACTGTGATTATGAAACTAGAAGTGATTGTTTATATTGTGTGTTTGTGTATATATATATATATGTGTGTATACACCACATATATATATATATATATATATATATACACAAACACACAATATAAAAAAATCACTTTTCTAGTGTTTTCTCTCATAATTTTAAGCCAGCTACGGACCACCCAAGGTCTCAATATGATATTTGAGAAAGAAACAGTACGATTTTCTGAATTAATTCACTGTATATTACTTATATGCTCTTTAGAAATGTATACAAATGGAATCAAATAGTAGGTTTATAAGAGATCCGATTTGTTTGCTCAAAATTTTGGTCTGAGATTCACCCGTATTGTTAAATGTAGTTTGCTAAATTTCATTGCTGCATAGCATTTTGGTATGACTACATAACAATACATTTACATTTAATTATTGGTAGACATTTAAATTGCTACCAGATTTTGGTTATTATGGATAACACAACTATTAGCATTATAGCACATGTTTTCTTGGAGCACTTACACATATATTTTTAGGGGGAGAATTACTGGATCACAGGGCACATGTAAATTAAATTAGGAGGTAATGTTTCTATGAAATTGCACCCTTACTATCAGTGTATGAGAGATACAGTGCTAAATATTCACCAAAAACAAGACTTTTTTTTTTTTACATTTAGTCATTTTTGTCAATGTGCACTAATATCTCATTATGCCTTTCACAAGAATTTCCACTGTGGCTAATGATGTTGAGCTCTTTTAAAAACTTTCTTTGGCCATTTTGAAATTGTTTTATTTAAGGTACTTATTAAAATCTCTTATTTTTCTGTTGTGCATTTATCTGCTTCTAACTGATATTTAGGAAATATTTGTGTATCTTTTTTTTTCACTTTTAGGTATTTAAATGTAGACTTCCCGACTGTAGACTTTTTCCTTGATGTTTTACTCTTAACTATTACTGAAAATACTTAATGTTGTTCAGCTTACCAGTTTTTTCATCTGTTAGTTGCTCTCTTTGGTTAGTGATATACGTGTCCTGTTTAAAATTTTTTTCCTGAAGCAAAAGTGATGATTTTCTTCTATGTTATCTTTTAGACTTTTCTGTATCTTATATTTTGTACTATTTAGATTTTGCATTAATTTACTAAGACTGCTATAACAAAGTATCACAAACAGGGTGGCTTAAAGATATTTATTGTCTCAAGTTCTGCACTCTAGAAGTCCAAGATCAAGGTGTCATCAGGGTTGGTTCCTTCTGAGGGCTGTTAGGAAGAACCTTTTCCATGCCTCTCTCTCCCATAGCTTCTGGTAGTTTTCTGGCAATATTTGGCGTTCCCTTACATGGAGAAGCATCATCCTGATCTTTGCCCTCATCTTCACATGGTGTTCTTCCTGTGTGCCGGTCTGTGTCCAAATTTCATCCTCTTATAAGGACACCAATTACATTGCATCAGGAGCCCATCCTTCTCCAGTATGACCTCATCTTAACTAATTATATCTGTAATGATTCTATTTCCAAAGGTGATCAAATTCTGGGGCAATGGTGGTTAAGATCTAAACATAAAAATTTCATGGGGAACACAATTCAATTCATAACATATTTTAGGTCCATTTAAAATTTATTTTTGCAAATGATGTGAAGTGTTGCTGTTTTTACCCCTGTGGATATCAAGTAAATCAACATTACTTATTGATAAGACTTTTCTTTTCCACTACTTTGCTCAGCAGTACTATCTTATTCATAAATCAAAAGTTTCTGTATGTTTGAGTTTGTTTCTGGAGACTCTTTCTTGCGTTGGTCCATTTGCCTAACTTCATTATATCTTGTTAAATCCTCCTACTTTATGCCTTTTTGGCATTTTCTTAGGTATTTTTGCCCCTTGTGTTTGTGTGTCTGTGTATGTGTGTAGACTCAACTTGTCAATTTACATACACAAACACACCACAAATGTACTAAGTTTTCTATTGTGATTAATTGAAATGAATATATAGATTAATTTGGAGAATATCAGAAATATTGACTCTTCTAATAATCCTTGACCATATCACCCTTTATTTGTCTTTTATAAGTTCTCTGAAAATTAAAAAAAAAAAACAAAACATTTATTCCCAGTTGTTTAAAATTTTTATGCTTTTAAGAAAATTTCAGGGTAAAATTTTTATTATCCACTTTTTGCTTGCATATAGAATTTCACATGCTGATCTTTTCTCTAGCTGCTATTTAAGTTTAGTTATTAACCCTAATAATTTCTGTGTTAATTATTCTGGATATTCTACATATACAATTATGTCCTCTGCAAAAATGACAGTTTAGTTTTTTCTTTCCATTTCTTATACATCTCAGTTGTTTTTCTAGATTGTTAGACTGACACTAGGACTCCAGTGCAATGTAGTAACAACATTCCTGTCTCATTAATAATTTCAGGACAAACACCTTTAATTAATCATCATTAGGATGATGTTTGCTATAGATTTTTATAGATATTGTTTACCTATTTCTGGATATTTGTATTAGTATTTTATTGCTGCAAATTAGCACAAACTTAGTAGGTTAAAACAATACACATTTATAAGCTTATGGTGCTGTAGGTCAGAAGTGGCAGGGTTTTCTGCTCAGGGTACCATAAGATTGAAATCAAGGTGTTGACTGGGATGAATTGTCCTCTGGAGGCTCTGGGAAAATTTGTGCTTTGAAACTTATTCTTGTCATTGTCAGAATACAGTTTGTTGTTGGCTGGCAGCTGGGGGGCCAGTCTTGGCTTCTAGAGGCTCTCTGTGTTCCTTGCCATGTTGTTTCCTCTGTCTTCAAGCTGGGATGTCAAATCCTCGTATTCTGAATCTCTCACTTCCCCAGTCTCCGACCTCTAAACCCAGATTTAAAAGGTTCATGTGATTTGGTAAGGCCCACCTAATCTCTGTATTTTAGTGTCAATTAAGGTAACTAAATCATTGGGGTGGTATCACATTATATTCATAAGTTCAGTCCACATTCTAGAGGAAGAGATTATAGAGGGGTAAGAATCATTTTGGAAGTTTGCCTTAAATTTCTCAAGTGCTTATTATTTGTCTAATGAGATGATCATATAATTTTTTCTGTTTTTTTTTTTAATTTATGTAGTGGATTACATAGACTTTTTTTTCTATTAAAACAAAGTGTCATTTTGAAAAGAGAAACACCTCATTTGAGATACATTATCCTTTTGGTAACTTGATGGTAGTTAATATGTTACTTTAAAAAGTTTTTATCTCATCATGAAAATATTTATTTCTTTTTATAACTTGTAAAATTTTGCTATCAATTATATACTGGTTTCATATAATGGTTTGGAAACTGTTTCCTCTTTTTTTATCACTAGAATATTTTGCAGAAGATTACTGATATTTCTCTTAATTTTTTCAGAGGTAACCAATGCATTTTTTAAACAAATATAATTTCTGTATTAGATATATAATTATTCAGATTTTCTATTCTTTGTTCAATTTTAGCAGAAATGTGTTTATTTCCAGAAAATGTTCATCTTACTATATTTTTTAAATTTATTATCAAGATGTTTATAATATTATGCTATCAATATACTGCTTTAAAATCTATGAAATGCCCCATTTTTTGTTTTTCTTTTCAGTGACTTACTCCTTTGTATCTTAAACAGATATAAAGCTAATTTTGGCTTTTTTAATTCCACATTTATTTCATATTTTAATTTATTCTTTTTTATTATATTCTTATTTCTACTTTTTCCCCTATTCTTTTCTAACTTACTGAGGCATAAGATAAATGTTCATTTTTAGCCACAAACAGAATGCTTTAAAATAAGAATCATAATCAAGTATCAGAAAAAATGATGCCAATCTGAAGCCTGAATTTCTTTTGATTGATGTTCCAGTTTTATGGTGCATCCTACTCTGTTCTCTGGCTTTGTCCTTGGGTGCCACCTTCCAGATCATCTTTGTAGCTACATTGGCTGTCTTATTCCAGTCCTTTTCTTAACCCAAACTCATGAGCTCTTTTCCTAGGTTTGGACCCATAGGCTCTCTTGTGTAAAAGTTTATCTTAGATTCTTACTGACTTGTATTTATTTTTTATATTCCTCATCAAGCTCTTTTCCATATTCTATAGATTTTTTCCTTCAAATAAAATCTCATTTCTACTACTATAAATCCAAACTTTAATTTCTTATTCGAAAGAATTTTTTTCTGTCAGCAAATTTCATTCTTTCTCTGGGTCAGATTATTAATTTCATCTTCCTGAAATATCACTTTCATGTTACTTATTTGATTAAAACAATGCAATTTATCTATCCTCATTCTTGTTGCCAGTTGCCTTTGCCTTTTCTCCTTCCTAATGTATGTATTCCCCATTTATCTAGTGATTTTTTTTCTTTAATAGAATGATTTCTAACTGTTCTTTCCCTGTGAGCTATATTGATTGCCCTTCTTTGCAAGTAGACTTCATATATTTTAGTTTCCCGGGTCAAGTAGAAAGCTAAACACATGATTAGACAACAACATATATAGATTGATTAGTTTTTTAAAAATCAGCATGCTAAATTAGTTGAGCTGCCATGTGGACAATCAAAATATAATTTCTAATTTTAAAATCAAAAGTTGCAGTTGGGGGTTTGACTTTAGAGGACACATTTAGAGAAATCACAGAGTTTTCAAGACTTTTGTAAATTCTAGATTTGATTAGCTTTGAAACTCAATTGTTCCATAGAGCTGATGTTTATTTGAATAAACATGGAAATTGATTCTCCTAGTCTTAAAACTTGAGAAGGTTACATTTGTCTTACCTACATTTGTCTTACCTGAGTTCCTTTGTCAGGAAACCAACCCTCAGGCTTCCAGGATAGTATTGGGGGCTAAAACTGACCAGATCACTGTATCTGGACAATGAGATGTCAGACCCCTCACCCATCACGATTGCCTAACTGACCACCTACTTCCTGTTGACCAACTCCTCTTGCTTACTCTTCTTTAATTCCCGTTTTCCCATACATGGTGACATTTCTTCCTTACTGTATAAACCTCTAATTTTAGTCAGTCAGAGAGATGGATTTGAGACTGATCTCCCATCTCCTTGGCTGTAGCACCCAATTAAAGCTTTCTTCCTTAGCGGTACTTACTGTCTCAGTTATCTGCTTTCTGTATGGTGAGCAGCAGGACCTAGATGGAACCCCTGGGGTTTCAGTAACAGCTTCACTATGAGTAAATCATGTTAGTTTTGTATTAATCATGCAGCAGTAGAGTGGGAGGATATGTATAACAGGTAGTTTTTATCCCTTCTCTGTTTCACCTCACAGAATCAGATTCAGAATTGTCAAAGTGACAATCAGCTACTCCTTTCCCAGAAACAGGATTAAAAGACATCCAGAAAGCTTCTTTTCCCTATTCTAGATGAAAAAAAAAATGTGGCTTTGGCTCACATTCAGATATTATTTCACTTTCAATAAGAGCAGTATAAATATTCTGAGCTTTGAGGCTTTCTCTTTTTCCTTTGAGGTCAAATGGAGAAAAAACATGTTTCTTTATTGGGAAATAATCTAAATTTAGGGGATATAAATATTATATTGATTTGAATGCCTGTGTTATATCTGCTGCTAACTGGATTGTTAATTTAACTCAAGGAAAGACAATTACAAAAAAATTTTAAAAAAAAAACAAAAACTAAAGCTATGGGTGAGATCATGTTTGGGTTGGCCAGTAACCTTAATTTAAAAGAAAAAAAAGTCATCTGTGGAAGAGTGACTGTTTCTAACACTAGCAAATATTCACATATTTTTATTGACAGATATTTGGATGTTTTCCTACTTTGGCTGCAATTTCAGCATGCATAATGAATGCATTGTATATAAAATAGATTTTGAAGTGAAGTGTGAGGAATAAATGATTATTAAATGCCTAAGGGTGAAGAGACAGCAAATAGTATATTCCTAAAACATGAGGGAAGAATGCCTATGTAATGGAAAAAGCACTGGAGTGTGAGTTTGGATATATGGATTAAAGAGGCAATGTAACAATGTACAGTGAACTTCAGTTTTGAAGGCACATATACCTGGCATTGAAAGCTGGACACATACGAGCTAAGTGAAGTTAGAAAAGCCAATTAAAAACTGGATCTCACTTTGTTCATCTGGAAAATGGTGACAATATTATCCAACCCATAGGGTAGATGTAATTTTAAAATGGGTGCTGGGCTGGGTGCGGTGACTCATGTCTGTAATTCCAGCATTTTGGGAGGCCAAGGTGGGCAGATCACCTGAGGTCAGTAGTTCAAGACCAGCCTGACCAAGATGGTAAAATCCATCTCTACTAAAATTACAAAAATTAGCTGGGGGTGGTCGTGGGCCCCTGTAACCCTAGCTACTCGGGAGGCGGAGGCAGGAGAATCACTTGAACCCAGGAGGTGGAGGTTGCAGCGAGCCGAGATCGCGCCATTGCACTCTAGCCTGGGCAACAAAGCTAAACTCTGTCTCAAACAAACAAACAAACAAACAAACAAACACAAATGGGTGCTTGTTATTGTTATTATTGCACTTTTTTTCTCAGTTCCATGATTTTCTCAGTAGATTACACAGGTTTTAATGTGTAAAGATACTAAATAGAGTCATACAAAGTTAAGGAAGGCCTTATTCATTCTAGAAGCAATCAGAAGTAAATAGAAAGTAAGGGACAAAACACCAAGCAGAGACTGAGATAGGCTGCACAAAGTAAGTTTACATTTAGAAAATTGAACTAAGTAAAATATTAGAGTAGGAGTTAGAGATAAACTGGAATACAGAGGAAATTGATGTTAGGCAACATTTGTACCAAGAAGGAAAATGAATTATAAAACTAATGTGTGAATAAGGGAAAGTAGACTGCATGCAGTGAAACGTCATAAATAGCAAAGAATAATTCTACTCGATTCCCACTACTTGTTGGATTTAATGGCGCAAATTAGAATTTTTATGGGACACTACATTTGAAGTTGCTATATGTGTTTCCTCCTGAAGTCAGTGTTGCTCTATTAGGTGTGGTCAGCCCTCCATAGACCCTTCACTTGTTTTAATTTATTCATTGATTCTATACCTATTTTTGAGTAACTACGTCTGTTCAACATTGTAGTCTTAAGCAGATAATAATCCCTGCCCTTATAGTTGTTGTCAGGCAATAAACCTAACCGATATTTAAATAATGTATGTGTGTTGGAAGGTGATCAGATGTTTGCAGAAGAATGAACTAAAAGTGTACCAAAATGATTGCACCTGTAAATCAGGTAAGGTTGTCCTCATTGAGAACGTAAGTAAAGTTTTAAAATAGAGGAAGGAGTGAGTCATGCAGATGTACACAGGAAGATTCCAGGAAAACAGATTAAGAGAATAGGTAGAATGAGATAAGGTTAGAAAAATATGAGGGGGCTGAATAATGTAGGACTTTGTAGTCTATTGTAAGGATTTTGTCATTCATTTTGAGTGAGAAAAGAAAACATTGAAGAACTTGAGCAGATGAGAGCATAATATGATAAATGTTTGTAAAAGATTACTTTTGCTGCTATGTTGAGAACAGATTCCAGATGGGGGAAAGGATAGAAGCAGGGAGACCACTTAAGAGGCATTGCAATAATCCAGAGAAGAGATGATATGGTTTGACCCAAAGTGATAGCAGTGAGGTGCTGACAAGGGATCAGAAAATGAATACATACTGAATATAAAACCCACAGGATTTCTTGACAGACTGGATGAGGTGTGTGAGAGAATGAGACGAATCAATGATGAGTCTTTGACTTTTCAGCCTGAGCAGCTAGAAGGACAGAATTGATTTTAAGAGAGATGTGAAAAACTACAGGTAAAACGGGTTTGGAAATGAAGATCAGCAATTCAATTTGAAAATTAAACTTGAGATGAAATTTGAGACATATTTTAATACTCAGTGGAGATATTGAATTGGAAGTTGAATATACAAGCCAGGATTTGAGACTAGTGGTCTAGGATGGATATAAAACTTTGGGCATCATAAGCTTTAAATAATGTGAACAAAATAGTATGTGTCAACAGAGAAGAAACGCTAAAACTGAGCTATGAGCACTTCAATGCTAAGAGATTAGGGAGCAAAATAAGAACCAAGAAACAAGATGGGAAGAGATATTAGTGAGAGATAAAGGTAAATGGAAAACAAAACTGATATGCTGTTTTGGAATCCAAGTGAAAAATGTGTTTATAAGAGTGGAGAGTGATTAACTGTGTCAAATATTATTGGTAGGCTATTTAAGAAGAGAACTGAGAATAGATTAATAGATTTAGTAAATTAATGGTCACTGATCTCCACAATAGCAGTTTCAATAGAGGTCAAAGTTGGATTGTACTGGGTCTGCACTTTTTAAAGTTGAGTCTTCCTCCTTATCTTTCAAGATTTGGATAAATTCTGAATAAATTAAGGGAACGGCTACAGTGAGTGATATTTATTTATTATTTTTCTTTTGAAAGCAATTAGTTATGAAGGTATGGCATTTGATTGCCATTCAGAATTCCTGAATACAGCCTTCAAATAGCTATCTATTATAACCACAGGTCCTTGAAGGAAATATTAAATGGGATACATTAGGAAAAATAAAATGAAGCTTTATTAGTATAAAGATTTTTGTTTTTGTTTATTGAATGCATCCCCAGTGAAATTTCTTAGTGATCTAGGGATGATCCTTGGAGAAATAAGCAAACAACTTGCCAGAGCTAGATAAACTGTTATGAAAATGTAAGTAAAGGCAGCCTCTGATGCTATTTTGCACTTGGCTTCATATAGAGTAGAGAATTAGGTGGCACTAAGAAAAGCATACAGAGTAATATGATGGAAAAATTGAGTTTCTCTCTAAGGCATAGATGCCTATATAAGTTTGTTTATTCTGGTGCTTACCTTGATTACTATCAATTTTTATTAGTTTATTATGAGAAGAAGTTTAGAGGAGAAAGCTTATTTTCAAATAAAGGCGACTTAAGACCCCATCTAGTTGTGTCAGTCCACTAAGGAGTTAGACTTCTTAAATGTTGACCAAAAAGTCAAGAATTTTAAAGAAGCTGGATCCCAAGAAAAGGTATCAGAGTACATCTCAATGGAAGCATAAGGTTTTAACTGAATTGCACTTATGCTTCAATGCAAAGCAACAGAACTCAGTAAATGCCCGTTGCTTATGACCATCCATATCAATCTTATTACTTCTTGGGAACTGTAATGGGCATTTAAGATGATTACAGGAAAGTCTAGATGTGACTAACTTTCCTCGGTGTTCAACAAATATATGTTCATTGAGAAATATGTATGAACGGTGATTATCTGTAGTTCAGAGGAAGCTTCATTCTTTTCTTGTTTACCATCCTCTCACTTTTCATCATTTTAATGCTCTCCCCCAAACTGTTTTATTCCTGGGGACCAGCCAGTATGGATTTCTGTATTTTGGTCCTCTGAAATCCTAACAGACTCATAACCATCTTCTCTTCTTCCATATCCCTGAATTCTAAGGTTCCTTTATACTTCTCTAATTGTATAAAGCCACACATACACTTAGAATTTGTATTTTCTCTTCCTACAAGACCAACAAAGGAGTGGATGTCTTAAGTTTGTGTTTTTTATTGTTTTTGGGGTTTTTCCCACAACTAGTACTAATGAGTGGACACATTCATTAGCTGGTTAGCTACACGATTAACTGCAGCCATAATAGGCTTTATGCTAAAGGTTTGTTACTAAAAAAACTGGGCACAGGCAATGTTTTGATAAATTCAACAACATTTTCTATTATCATATATCATCAAACTTTTGGCCTCATTAGAATGACGATGCTATGTTGGCAATCATTTGCTGATAAAGTATGAAAAGTGGCATTCAATTTACTGAATCATGGAAATTTAGTATTGTAAGAAAATGTAGATATCATCAGATTCAGTGGCACTCGTTTCACCATTAAAAAATATAAGGGTCATGGGTATAAATGACTTGTGGAATCTTACTTAGCCAGACCTGACATCTCTCAATAGCTGGTTTAATATTCTTTCCAATGGTTTAGGTATTCTGGTTCGTGCCAAGACATGTAGAAATAGAAATACTTTACCTTTCTAGAGGAATACTTAACATTTTAAAACATTTACTTCATTTAGTTATAATTATTTTTCTTCTATAATATATACTTTTCAAGGACATATTTTTAGGCATTGTTGATTAAGAGATGACCCTATTTTGGAAAGGTAGTTCTGGGCACTTGCAATACAATAAGGATGCACTGTTTCTTTCAGCCAGTGTGTAAGATGGAAGTTAGGTTGACCTAGCAAAACTCTAGTTTCCGCAAATAAGGGATTTCTTTTTCTCCTCTGCGCCTGCTTGAATTACAAACGACTTCTTGAAGCATCTGTTTTCACTAAATTTGACAGCCAGGAAGGAAGGTTCACAATTTCAGCAGCTGTTATTTGTTTTTGTCCTTTACTGAGATGAGCAGCAAGACCACAGTATCTAGAGATTTGTTTGATTACTCAGCAGGACAGTAGGAGCTAAAGCAGAAAGATGATAGAAACCATGAGAAGACGAGCAAGGCATGACATGAGCAAACATCAAAAAGGCATGGTTTGATAAGCAGAATCCAAAAATAAAGTTCACTCTAATGACATAGTGACCAGAGGGAAGATTACTGATGCAAAACAGCTGAATTCAAGGACAGATTCAAGGGCACTTATTAATGTGTATAGTATATAAGCTGAGTCACATACATCATTTTTTCCAAAGCAGATTTTCATATTATTGAACATAAGGTTGACAAACATTACTGTGTAACTCATAATGCCCTCTCTTTTGAAAAGTATTAATACATTTCAAAGTTGGAGAGTGTTTGTTTCAAATGGCTTCAAGGGAGAATATTTGCTGCCTTGCTCAACAAGTGATTAAGGAGACAAGTTTGAAACCAGGGTTTCAAACACACATTGCCAGAGTATGAAGAACCAATACAGAGGCAGCAAGGAAGGATGTAGAATAAAGCTGAGCAGAAGACTCAGGAAAGATGCATAAAAAAGCAGAATGTTAAAGTCACAATCAGAACAATAAAAGCAAATGAATATACTGGAAACAATAGAACCCAAAGCCAATAGATATTACCAGAAGACAACATATGTATAACACACAGTAAAGCATTAGGAACTAATGGCTATTCCTTAGGAGTAGAAAGCCCTGGGTGTGCTATTGCAAAATTTGCTTCTGTGCAGCAACTCACATCATGAGACAGGAATAAGCAGTATATTTCTGTGCAGAGTAAAAATTTGAAGCGTATAACACAGACAAGGAAAGGAGGTTCAATTATGAAAGGGGAAAAATTATAAGAAAAACATTCTTTCCTGAACCTGCAACAGGAGATATGTTTTGTAAACAACAATATTATTTAAAAGTATAGTCAATATTAAGAACCTTACTTCCAACCTACTACTTCCAAATAACTGATAATTATTTGCCAATAATAGAAATAGAAAATGCTGAACAAGGGTTTAGAAAATGGAAATTCTTAGTCTAGCTGCTATAACAGAGTACTATAGGCTGGGTGGAATATAAACAACAGAAATTTAAGTCTTATAGTTTTAGAGTCTGGGAAGTCCAAGATCAAGTCATTAGCAGATTCAACATCTGGTGAGGGCCTGCTTCCTGGTTGCCTTTTTGCGTGTCCTAACATGACCAAAGGAGCAAGATATCTCCCTGGGTCTCTTTTATAAGGGTACTAATCCCGTTTATAACGACTATGCCCTCATGAACTAATCACCTCCCCAAAGCACCACCTCTCAATATTACATTGGTGATTAGGTTTCAACACACAAATTTTATGGGACATAAGCATTCAGTTTATAGCATTCTATCCTGGCCCCCCAAAATTAATTTATTTCTCATATGCAAAAAGCATTAAAAAAACATTCATTTCATTCCAACAGTCCTGGCCAAATTTAACTTTTTCCAAAGTCAACTCAAAAATCGAAAGTTCAGTATCTCATTTAAGTGTCTTCTAAATCAGATGTGAGTGAAAACTCAAGGTATGATTTACCCTGAGGCAAATTTTTACTCCAGTTGTGAACCTGTGAAACCAAACATTGTGTGCTTCCAAAATACAATGGGGAAACAGGAATGGAAGTGCCACTTCCATTCTAAAAGGGAAAAATAGGAAAGAAGGAATGAGTGACAGGTCTTTAGAGTTATTCTTTCATTGTCTTGAACAATAGTCCTGAGCTTCTGTTGTGTTGGCTGATTGGTCTTTTGGAGTGACCTTTCTGCAAAGGCTTTTCTCATTCTTTTCAATATAGATAGCCTGAGAATTTTCCAAATCTTTAATTTCTGGTTCCTTTTTGCTTAACATTTCCATCTTGAATTTGAATTTTACCATAAGCCGTCAGGAAGAGCCAGTCCACTGTGTTAGCACTTTACTTAGACATTCCTGAAGACAAATATCTAGTTTTACCACTTGCAAGTTAAACCTTCCACAAGATGCTAAAACAGGAACACAATTCACCCAAGTTATTTGCCACTTTAAAGCAAGAATAATCTTTCTTACAGAGTCCAATAATACATTCTTTATTTCCATCTGAGACCTCATCAGACTGGCATTTACCACCCATGTGTCTACCAACATTCTGTTGAGAATTACTGGGATGTTCTCTAAGAAGACTGAAACTTGCTCTAGAGCTCTCCTTTCTTCTTTCTGAGCCCTTATCAGAATCACCCTTAATGGTCTGTTCACAACAACATAGGCTTTTGCTAGCATGCACCTCAAAACTCTTCCAGCCTCTACTCATTATCCAGTTCCAAAGTTGCTCACACGTTGTTAGGTATTTGTTATAGCAACACCCCCACTCTTGGGTACCAACTTCTGTCTTAGTCCATTTGGGCTGCTAAAAGAATATCATAGACTGGGTGGCTTAAAAATAGAGATTTGTTTCTCACAGTCCTGGAGGCTGAGAAGTTTAAGATCAAGACACCCCCATATTCAGTTTCTGGTGAGGGTCTGCTCCCTGGTTCATAGACAACTGTCTTTTCACTTTTTTATCTTTATGTGTGAAGCATAGTCTCATGTTGCTAAAGGGGCAAGGAAGCCCTCTGGTAGCTCTTTTATAAGGATACCAATTCCATTCATGTTACTTTCCAAAGGTTCCACATACAAATATCACATTGGGTATTAAGCCTCAATATATGAATTTGAGGGGGACATAAACTTTTGGTCTATAACAGTATCTATTTCCGACTTACTAACATTGTGAAGATACCAAGACAAAGCATATTCTGCATGATTGTTAAAGTGGGAATTTAATTTTAGAGAATGAATGTTTTCAATTATCTTTCTATTAAAACTTAGAAACAAAGTACTTTCTTTTAACATGAGATATCTTTATTTTTATCTTCAGTGTGGGGCACAATGACCCTAAATTATTTATACTTTGGAGAACAAAAGATTGCTTAATTCCATGCATATAACTTTGTAGAAGTTTGCTAGTGTTTTTTAGTTGAGAAGCCTTGAACACAGAAGAATTTCTAAGACAAAGAACAGTTTCAAAACTGAGTTTTTGCTACCAAGATAGTGCTGTGTATATTTGGAGGGGAAAAGATGCATGGACCATGTATTACCATTCTTTTGACATTTGCTTGACATAGTTCAACTTATTGGCAAATTAGACTAATAAACTAAGAGAAATATTTTCCTTTTGTCCTCAAATTTTGATTATTTTAATTAAAAATACATTACTATTCAGAGGTCATCTTGATTTTATAGGAAAGCAAATAAAAATAGAATTAACTTTTTAAATTGGTGGAAATGTTACCGAACTGTGGTGTTTACAAAATAATGCATGGATAGAAAACCTGATAGGATTGATGTTGAAGAGACAGGTATGTTTCAATTCAGATAGACATGGTTCAAGACAGAATAATGGATGTGGTTTAGTTAAAGGATATGACAAAAGCAATGTTGGAATAGTTGGTAAGTATACAAATCGTGACGTTAAGTTTTTGAGGAGATATGTTCCATGCAGTTGCATATATAAAATAATTTTTTATAAATTGTGCAAAATATTCAAATGATGGAGCATCTGGCAGGAAAGAGAAATTCAATGGGCTTGTAATCATTTCAAAATAACTATAAGAAGTGCTATTTACAAATTTGTAATTTGGGTTTAGAGGAACTAATGAGGCCACATTGCCATTACATTTTTTAAAAATTGTCATCTTGCATTTTAGACCAATAAATATAGATTTTTGTATTTGGGAAACAAAATATTGGTATGAGGATATAACATGAATAAGAGTAGTCAAGCGCATTTTAAGGGTTCTGCTTAAAATTTTAAAAAGCAATGTTCCTGGGTCATGGACAGGACTTAATCAGTTTTTTCTTTTTAAGTCTCTATCTCAGTTGAAGATATGGTCCTTATATGAGTTAATAGTACACTTGTAGTTATCCTTGGTTTTGCTGCAATCCCAACATGTGATCATTTTGATTTTGCTTCCTAAAATCTTTCAACACTTTCTGATTTCTAATCTCACTATCCTACCACAACATGTGATCATTTTGATTCTGTTTCCTAAAATGTTTTGACTCTTTTTTATTTCTAATCTCACTACTCTAGTTCAATTCTGTTCTTTGCCCTAAATCTATTCAATAGCTTTGCAATGAATCTCTTTCCCTCCAATATTGAATCTTTTTGAATCTCTTTGAATCTCTTACTGAGTCTTTTTGCCTCAATTTTACTACTAAAATGTTTTCTTAGTTAAATGTATACATATATGTATAAAGAATATACAATAACAATTTGAAAGGTTATTTCTGATGGTGAGATTATAGGTGATTTGTGTGTGTGTTACACTGTGTTTCTATTTTTATTCCTAACTGATCTTGAATTTGTTTCCTGTTAAATTATAAAATTACATTTTTTTCTAAACTAGTCATCTGTATGACCTATCTAGATCTGAAAAATTGTAATGACTATTGAGTCACATAAACTCAAAATTCACTGGTTAAACTTTTAGGATTGTGTTAGTCATATTAGGTTACTTTATGCCAAATTAACAAATAATCTTTAAAGATTAGTGCCTTCACACAAAAAAATGTTTATTTCTTGCTTATTAAAGGACTATTTTCCTAGGGATAAGGCCCTATTCACTATTGTATCTAAAGTGATGGCACACAGTAGATTCTCAATAAATCTTCATTGAATAAATAAAATACACACATGCATGTAAACACATTCCCCCCTTCCTTCCCATTACTCTCTTCTCAGTTTCAGTTGTCTATCATTAATTGGCTCAGCATTCCAGGATGCTTTGATCTCATTGCCATATAAACATACTACTCTGTTTCCTGTAAACTTGGAAAATCATGGAGAATCATGTGCTAGCTCTGTAATTCTTCTACCCAGAAGTAGTGGATGAGTTCTGCTTACTTATCATTACTTAAAGTAAGTTATGGGGTGTCTTAGCTTGGGCTGCTATAGCAAAATATCATAAGCTGGGTGGCTTAAACAACAAACATTATTTCTCACAGCTCTAGAGGTTGGGAAATCGAAGACCTAGTCACTAGCCAATTCAGTGTGTGGCGAGGGCCCACTTTCTGGTTCACAGTAGGCTATCTTCTCACTGTATTCTCACATGGCAAAGAGAGGAACCAGGGAAGCAGACACTCTAAGCAATCTTATAAGGGCACTAATTCCATTCACAAAGGATCCATTTTGTTGACCTTATCTAATCCTAATTACCTTCCAAAGACCACACCTCCTAATACCATCACCTTAAGGGATAGGATTTCAACGAAAGTATTGAGGAGGCATAAACATTCAGTCCCTAACAAAGGGCAGAACTCAAACAGCATGTTTCTGGCAGGAGAACAGAACCAGAAATCTTGTGAAACATTAGTCATTTTTACCACAATTAACACTTGTGAATTATACAAGAATAGAATCTAATGAGCGTCAACAATTAAGTTTATTGGCTCAATGAGAAAGATCATTTAAAAATTAATATAATTGGGTGAGTCATGGACTGTTGCAATATACAACCAGTCAATAATTGCATAAATATTAGAGGTGGTTCATTCATCAGAAGAGTCAATTCTATATTGAAAAACTATAAATATTTATATTTATTTATAATTGTAAATTATAAATTAAAACCAATCATCCCGTAAATCCTATACAAATAAGGGAGAGTAGAAGAGGAATGAAACTTTCTGAGGTTACCTCAAATTCATATATAACATGAATGATGACACTTATTTTTCTCTTTGCATTTACACACATGCATTCTCTTAGAAAACATCAATTGTCACTGGTCCTGGAAAAGCCTGAAAAAGTTAGTGAAAAGTTTATGAGACTACACTGGGTTTTTTTTTTTTGAGTTTATAATAGTGGTTCCCTATAGTAGAAATTAACAGATCTCTTCAAGCTTTTGACTCTGGGGAAAAATTTGATAAGTTTATATAAGCCTTGGTTTACCCGTAAATATATGACCAGTCTTTCCAAAACCACAGTGGAAGTTTAAAGCTTGTAGAATATTAGTAAAATATTACAAACTTGAAGATGTGATACATTTCCCCTACATTTCCACTTGATTTAAATGAGATCCTGCTGTGACTTCAACTTATGACCACAGTGTAGACATTTTCTAATATTCCAATGTATAATATGTTTGGTAATCACATGTTTATTATATGTCTTATACAAATGGAAGTGGATAATAAAGTAGGAGGACATCCCCTAATGGGAGCAAGTAGTTGGTGAAGAGTGGAGATTAATCCTAGAACCCCTCTCTATCTGAAATTGCTTATTTAACTCCAATCACAGACATATCTACAAATCCACAAACATCTGCACTTTGTTCACACATCACAAAATTTCATATATCTTCTCCAAGGGTAAATAAAAGCTCTTAAGTACTGTATGTGGCAGATAATTGATTAATACTAAAACATTTTTATTTTATATAATAACCCATGTAGAATTATTTTATATATATGCCTCTTGTACAGACTTAAATTATAAGAAAAATTTGTTACTGACATCATATTTTTTGGTGGTCACTGTTTGATCATAACTCTTCTTTTTTTTTTAATGAGACAGTGTCTCACTCTATCACCCACGCTGCGGTGCAGTAGCATGATTGTGGCTCACGAAAGCCCTATCTCCCAGGCTCAAGCAATCCTTTCACCTCAGCCTTCATAGTAGCTGGAATTAAAAGTGCACACCTCCATGCCTGCTAATTTTAAAATTTACTTTGTAGAAATGGGATTCATAAATCTTAAAGCCCTATAATATTGGTGCCAGAATAATTTGTTGTATACGTGTTGATAATGGGATCTAACTTCAAGATTTTGTCAATACAATTGAAGGAGTGGTTTATAAAAAGACAAGCTATAGTTAAATTAATACTGAAAATATTTATTCTATTTGAAGGGCACAATGGTTTATATATTCTTACATTTTAAATAGTCAATTGATTATTACTTTATGACTTAGGGCTTAAAATATATAAAGACAGGCTTTTGGTTCTCTGTTAAACGTTTGAAATTTTAAAACATCCAAGTGGTGGCTGGCAGTGGTGGCTAATACCTGTAACCCCAGAACTTTGGAAGAATCCTTCCAAGGTCGATTTGAGGCCAGGAGTTCCAGAACTAGCCTGGGACATAGCAAGACCCTGTCTGTAAAAAATAATTAAAAACAATTTGCTGAGCATGGTGACCCACGCATGTAGTCCTGACTACTTGGGAGCCTGAGGTGGGAGGATCACTTGAGTCCAGGTGTTTGAGCTTACGATGAGCTGTGATGCCACTGCACTCCAGCCTGGCTGATGGCACAAGACTCTGTCTCAAAAACACAAAACAAAACAAAACACCCAAGTAGGAATAAAGAAGCTTTATTTATTTAATTGTAAAATTAATTTAGTTAGTCATTAAGTAGTTAGAAGAATGATCGTGTACAGCTTAGAACAGGTAAACGAATGTGCTTCCTTTTCTTCATCTTTATTTCACTGTACATTAAAATAGCTACACAAAATATTAATATTTGACATTATTATGATCTATATTGTTACCATTTTCTTTTTAACATGTATCTGTCATATTTAAAGTATATTTCTTAACATTTAGTAAATTTTTTTAGCTGTCTCTCTTTTAAGTAGTGGTTTAGACATTTATATTTAATGTAACTATTGACATCCTAGATCATTTTCTACTTATCCACTTAATTATTTATTTCCATGTTCATCCTTTTCTGATCTTTTTTGAAGGATGACTTGAGGATTTATTTTTGCATGTCTATCACCTTTTTATTTGTATCTTTTTCTGATTGTTTCTCTAGAGATGACAAAATGCATTTCAACTAATAACAGTCTAGCTTCAAAAATTGTCAGCTACTTTACAATGAGAGAATGTTAAAAACATATTTATTTACTGCCTATTATTGTTGTATATTATGCTTCTATATATTCAGTAAACTCATATTATTCTTATATTTTTATTACTTTTACTTTTGAACAGTCAATTTTTAAAAGAGTTCAAATACAATAATATAAACATTTTATATTTTAAACATATACTACATATAAAATATACATATTGTGGTATGCAAAATAGTAGCCTTAAAGAAATGTCTATGGGTTAATGCCCAGGACTTGTGAGTATATTATGTTACTTAGCAAAGGAGATTTAAGATAGCTAAATTCCATGGTTTGAATGTTTGTGTCCCCTCCAAAATTCATGTTAAAATTTCATGCCCAGAACAACAATATTATGAACTAGAACTTTTAGGAGATGATTAAGTCATGAAGGCAGACTCCCCTCCAAATGATGCAGAAACATTTTGCTATCTTGGAAGCAGACAGCAGCCCTTACCAGACACCAAACCTGCTAGTGCCTTAAACTTGGACTTCTCAACTTCCAGAAATGTGAGAAATAAATTTTTGTGATTTATATTAGGTTGGTGCAAAAGTAATTGCGGTTTTGGCCACTACTTTTAATGAACAAAACTGCAATTACTTTTGCACTAACCTAATAAATTATCTTGTCTGTGGTATTTTGTTATAGCAGCAAAAATGGACCAGGATATTGGTATCAAGAAGGTGGATGTTGTTATAAAAACATACCTAAAAATTCGGAAGCAGCTGTGAAAGTGGGTAATGAGTAGTGGCCAGACCATAAAGGACTATTTTATGAAGGGCTAAGAAGAGAAGAGCTGTAGACAGATCCTCAGTCTTCTTAGTGATTGTCTAAATGGTCAGGATCAAAATATTGGTAGCAATGTGGACAGTAAAGGCCATTCTGATGAGGTCTTAGATGGAAATACAGAATATCTTATTGGAAACCGGAGCAAAGGCCATCCTTGTTATAAAGAGCCAAAGAACTTGGCTGCATTATCACCATATCCTAGTATCTTGTGAAAGGCAGAACTTATAAGCAGTGAATTATGATATTTGGTTGTAGAAGAAATCTCTAAGCAAAGTGTTCGGGTGCTACATAGCTTCTCTTAACTTCCTATAGTAAAATGCAAGAAGACAGACATGTTTTATAGATGGAATTTACAATTAAAGGAGAAGCATAACTCAAATATTTAGAAAATTCTCAGCCTAGCCAGATTACAATGAAAAGGTATGTTTGGGAGAAAACACTAAGGGTTTGGCCAAGTGAACATTTGACAAGATTAGTATGAATAAAAGGAAGGCAGATGCTATTTATCAGGAAAATGGAAGATTGACTCTGAAGGCATTTTGGAGAACTTGGAGACTGCTACTCCCGTTACAAGCCCAGAGTGCCAGGAACGAGAGGGCAGAATGGTTTCAAGGGAGGGGCCTAGTGTTCCCATGGGACCTCAGGATTTGCTGTCCAGGGCAACCTCAAGTTTCTGCTCCCCATATACCAGCACAGCATCCCTTGGTTTTGCAGCTGGCTCAAGCTGACCCAGGTGCAGCTTAAGCCACACCATAGGGCACAGGGGCTACAACTTGGCAGTAGCCACATAGTGCTAACTCCAGATTCTCAGAATGCATTAGTCATAGACACATAGCTACCTCAATCTACATTTCAAACGATGCCTCAGAGAGACACAGGGCCCAGAGAGCCACTGCAGAAGTGGGGCTACCACAGAGATCTCCCACTAGGGCAATGCTTGGTAGAGCTGTGGGTATAGGGCTGCTCCCAAGAGTCCAGATCTGTAGAACTGTCAGCCTGTAAAGCCAGTTGAGGAGAGTAACAAGCATCTGACTCCAGCAAGTGAGATTTTCCGCATGGGCTGGGCTCAGCAAAGCCACGGGAATTGTGGGCCCAACCTCCACACCAGTATGTTCAGAGGTCAGGGCATGGAGTCAAAGAATATTATTCTCATGTCTCAAGATTTAATGTTGCTTGACTTGTTGAGTTTTAGACATACTTGAAAACTGTCAGCCCTTTCTTCTTTCTTGTTGCTTGCTCCCTTTTGGAATGGGAATGTCTAGCCTATGCCAATCCCATCATCGTATTTTGGAAGCACATGCCTTGTTAGATTTTACAGGCTTACAGCTAGAGGAAAATTTGCTTCAGGATGAAACACACCTTTCAGTTCTGCCCACATCGGATTTAGATGATATTTAAGTGAGATACTGGACTGAAATTTTGAGTAGTTGTTGGAACAAGTTAAGACTTTGGATTATTAAGATGAAATAAATGTATTTTATATCTGAGAAAAAGAAAAAAAATAGTCACCAGGTCTTGAATATTTGTGTTTCCTCCAAAATTCATGTTGAAACTTAACCCTCAATACAACAGTATTAAGAGATGAGGCCATTAGGAGGTAATTAAATAATAAGAGTAAAGTCATCTTACGCAGAATTACGGTCTTATGAAAGGTGGAGGCAACTGGGTCTATATCTTTTACCCTCCCATCCCTTATAGCATGTGAGGACCCACCATTCATCTCCTCCAGAGGCCAAAAGCCACCTCGACAGTCACTAAATATACCAGCACCTTGATCTTGGACTTTCCAGCCTCCAGAATTGTGAAAAATAAATTTTTATTCTTTGTAAATTATTCAGTCTGTGTTATTTTCTTATAGCAGCACAAAGAGACCAGGGAACTAACCCTCTGACCTAAAATAGGGAGTTGATCCTGGATTATCCGGGTTGGCCCAGTGTGACCACCAGGGTCCTTCAAAGTGGAAGAAGGAGGCAGAAGAGATGAGTGATGTGATACAAAGAAGACCTAAGCCATTGTTGCTGTCTCTAAAAATGGTGAATGAGAACCATGTGCTCAAGAATGCAGGAAGGCAGACTCAAGAAGCTAGGAAAAGGCAAGGAAATAGATTCTCCCCTATAGCCTTCAGAAACAAATATAGCTCTACCAACACCTTGATTTTAACCCAGTAAGGTCAGTGTTGGACTTACCTACACAGATGTAAGATAACAAATTTATGTTGTTTTAAGCCACTACATTTGTGATAATTTGTGATAGCAGCAACACAAAACTAATAAACAAATATTTAATAAAATCGAATTTAAAAGGTATTTATTTTTATCAAACTATTTACTCTGATCTTACCATTTTTTTCATACAGATCAGCCTTTGTATCTGGAATCATTCTGGTTCAGCCTGAATAACTTCTTTCAGTAACACTTTTAGGGCAAGTCTAGTGAAGACGAATTCTCAATAGTTTTGTCCATCTATAAATGTTTTTAACCTTTTGTTTTGTTTTTTTTTTTTGAATGAAATTTTTGCAGTATAGAATTGTAAATAAAATGTTTTTTTTTTTTAATTCAGCACTTTAAAGATGTCCCATATCTTTTTCTGATCTTCACTGTTTATGAAGCAAGGTCAGCCATTTTTCTTAGTGTTATATATCCACATGTAATGAATTTACTGGCTTCCCCATCTGCTTTCAGATTGCTTCTTTATGTTTGGTTTTCAGTAGTTTGCCTATGCTATGTGAAAGTGAGGTGTTCTTTGTATTGATTCTGCTTGGGGTTCACAAACTTTTTAGATGAGTGGATCGATGTCTTTTATGAATAAAAAATTATTTACCATCGTATCTTCAGATATTTCCTCTGTTTCATTCTCTTTCTTCATTCCTTTTATGACTAAAATTACATACACATTTGATTGATACTGTCCTACAAGTCTTTAGAGACTATTTTGTTTCTATTACATTTTTGCTTTCTTTGTATATTTTGGTTTGAATAATTTCTATTGAGATTTCCTCAGTTAACTGATAATTTTCTCCTCGACATCAAGTTTTCTAATCTATCAAATTAAATCTCAAATTCTCACATTGTAACTTTTATTCATAGCATTCACATTTGACTCTTTTCCATAGGTTTCTATTGTTGCTGAAAATTTTCATTTATTCACAGATATCACCCTCCCCCTTCCCTAATATATCATCATAGTTATTTTCTAAACTTCTATCAGGCTATTTGCACATTTGGTCCATCTTTATATTTGGTTATTTTGACAGTTTTCTTTATTTAGTAACATTAATTTTTTTCTTCATGTGTCCTAAAATATTTTATTATATTATTAATATTATATGGTAAAGAACTATAGAGACTGAAATAAATTATTATTTACACCTAGAAAAGGGTGCAGGTTTCTGTTAGGCAACAGAGTCTTAATCTGTACTTAAGCTGGGCCTGGGCTTTGTTATTTCTTTAGCTAGAAACATTTACTACTGGATTCAAATAATTTTAGCACTAGATATGAGTCTCCTTTCAGTAGGACTTGGGATTTGAGTCTGGAAAGACTCCAAAGATGTCTTTATGCTTCATAGCCCAGCCACAAGCTTTCAAAACTGTGAAAATATTCACTCTGCCTTAAATTCTGGCTGTTAGCTTTTGAGGCTGGTGAGGAGCTCTCTCCAGCCATGGAAGTCTGTCTCCGAGATCTCTTCATTCTGGCTGCCCATTCCCCAGATTTGAAGTGGGGAACGCTGTAGCAGGGGATGGGCTCTTCAGTAAGAGCCTCAGATGCCTTAGATATATTTTGCCTTATTCTGTTTTTCTGTCTACAATTCTCTGCAAGTTCTGTGCATTGATGCCTCAAGGGCCTCTCTCTGTGCAATCTTTCCTCTACTATTCCTAGTTTCCTCTGACCCTCATCTATGGTGTTTTTCCCTTCTTCCACCGCTCCACCATGAAGGCAATTAAGATCTTTTCTCTTCTGGCAGGAGATTATAACTTGTTTGGATTTTAGTTCATTCAGATTTCTTTGTCCTCAATTTCCTAATAGGTTTTAACAAAATAAAATGTTTTTGTGCTATATGACTTGTTTTCACTTAAATTGGGAGTGACAGTTTACCAAACTTCTATAATTCAAGCTAAGTGGAAAGTGTAATATGTTGTTTCAAAACTATGTTCACCTTATTTTTATTTTTTTCTTTTTCATTATATTAATTGATTGGGTTTTGAAGTTATTCTGACGAGATGACTGCATATTTCTGCCATCTTAGCTATTTCTTTTTATATTTTAAAACAATGTTGAAAAAATTCCTTCATGGTTCCTATACATGGATATGTATTTACGATTAATCTACTAACCAGTAATGAACACATTAAGGTCTCTGGATAATTTACTCATAACAAATGTTCTTGGCAAAAACAATAAATGAAGTAACTAAGTGATTAAATTTGAAGGTTATTGAAATGTTCTTACACTGAATTTTTATCTGAATTTCCCTTGTTTTGGTAGAAAATCACCAGTATTTTATTAATTATTCATTTGTTTCTCCTTTCCTGGTCTTCACACATTTATTATTATAACATAATACTCAATTAGATAATGGCATATGCTTCTTCTATTCCAGAGCACCTATTATCTTGTTTAAAGGTAGAGTATTTGTCACACACAGATCAACTCTTGTAGCTTGCCATTCTTCACCTAGTGTCTTTATCCCATGGAATATTTTTCTAATACTTCCTTTCCTTTCTGGTAAGAGACCCAAACAATCAATTATAGCCTTATTTTACAATACGTATTTTATACTTTATTTGAAATCATCCATTTTTGTACTGGCATTTTCTCATATTCTGCCATTTCACTAGCTAACACTCTGACAGTAGCAGCATTTTTCCAGTTGATGCAGTTACTTCTTTGTAAGAGGAGCTCCAAAGGATAACTGCTTTTATTTCATACTTATACAACACAGAAGAAAATGATGTCCTGTATTCTCTGGTGGCTTAGAAGTAAAAATTATTCATTCACTTAATTAATTAAAAAAAACCCATCGTATTAAGCCATATATCAAATTATAGTTCATATTTCAAAACTGTTTCATCTTTATTCTAGTATAAAATAACTTTTCTGTGAAGTATATCCTGCAGATTGGTGTTAGAAATATTTGCCTCTGAATATGACTGCATTTCTTAAGAAAAGAAAAAGGATATTAGAGGGAAGATAGTCTCTCTCTCTCTCTTTCTCTTTCTCATTCTCATAGCTAGAAAACAGTTTTCCAGCCTACCAGTTCCTTCAGGATATTGACTATCATTCTTATTTCAAAAGTCATCGGTCTCAAAAGTTCTAAATTTAAAACAAGATACTTGGTGATAGTAATCTAATTATACCCCTTTCTTTCCAGAGCCTTGGGAAATATGTCATTATGGGGATGTGAACCTAACCATCAAGCTTCTCAAAATCCTAATTCTGGAATCATAACTTAATGGATTATGCATGGAAGGGGTGGAAACGGCCTACTTTGTTAAACAAATAGTTCTGATATTTTTACAAACATAAGCAATTGTATCTGCACTCTTTACATTCTACTCTAAACATTTCAAATCTCCAAACTTGCAAAGCTTGAGATTTTTGTTCCAAAGGGACCATAATGTTGCATAGTGTAAAGGGAGACAGAAAGCATAGATAATTTCAGCAGAAAAACAGTTGATTCAATTATTCTCATGATATTACTTGAGTGAGGGAGAAGAGGACTGGACAATGCATATTGATTGATTAAAAAATGCAGACCTAAGGGAGGAAAAGAAAGCAAAGACTGCCTGAAAAGCTTGTGAAGTAGCTCATAGCAGAACATTATGATGTTTGTGCTGATTTAGTTGTACCCTGGAGCAAGGAGAGATTATTAATATTACTGTTTGAGTTTCCTCAGGTATCTGCATATGGGATATGGTTTAATGATAAGGAAAATTCCAGCCCTGGTGTGTGTGGTTAACTTTTATTGTAGTGGTGCTGACTTGCTGTCTTCTTCATCCACAGTTTATTCTAGATAAAAATTTTGTATTTGGTGAATACCCACAAGTGGATGACAGTGTTCAAATTGTTTAAAAAATATCATTTGTGGCTGGGTAATATTTTAAAGTATGTTATTGCATGCTTTTCTTATCTGTATGCTTTGACATTTTCCTTCCTCAGGCAAGACACATGGCAGGGCCTCAGGGAAGATATGAAGCAAGGCCAAGGGCACTATTCAAAAGTTTGGGATTCTTAACTCTCTCCTTATCAGTACACTCAATACACCTCACCCCCAAAACTTAAGCTCTAGATAGAATTTCTATACCTGATTGAGACGATAGAAGTGATATAGGGAGTGTGAAAAAAAGTAAGTTTAGTATGAAAAAAATGCACAAAGAAAAAGCATTCTCCCTGTAAGGCCAAAAAGAGATTTATTGTGGCTATGCACAGTGGAGAGGTCTGTGACTCTGGGCAATTTTAATCGTTCTTTAGGAACAGTGCAAAAGGAATAGCTGCATGGTCATTACTCTAGAAAAATTGGATCATTGGTCTGTTTGCATGCATGACACTAAAGCTACTAAGGCCCTGATGGCAGGGACAGTGGATGTCTTGTAGTAACATGTTTGCAGCTGTGTAATCTCAGCATTCAGAGAGCCCCCACTTCACTTCTTGTCTACAATAAGCTCCCCTGTGTCTTAGTACAGTTTAGGACTCTAAATCTCTGGTATGACTAAAGAAAAAAGAAAGGGTGAGCAGAGGAGATAACAAAATAGAATTAAGATTACAATCCTAGGGATCCAGTGGTCAGATCTTAAGTTGAGCTACTAAAAAGAAATGACCATTTCTTATATACATACCTTCATAAAATGTGGTTCAAAAATGCTCTGGGAACTGGGTGCACTGGCTTTCAGTGGGAGGCCAAAATGGGAAGATCGCTTGAAGCCAAGAGTTTGAGACCAGCCTGAGCAACATAGCGAGAACACATCCCTACAAAAAGTAAATTCTAACAAACTTAGCTGGGTGTGTTGGTGTGTAGGTATAGTCCCAGCTACTGGGCTTAGGTGGAAGGATCACTCGAGCCCAGGAGTTTGAGGCTGCAGTGAGCTGTAATGATGCTATTTCATTCCAATCTGAGTGACAGAATGATACTCTGTCTCTAAAAAACTTAACAAACAAAAGATATGATGCATACTTGCGTGCACAGTATGTTAATGAGTGGCTAGGAGAATTAATTTCCAATTTTAATGCTTTTGTCATCTGGATGAAGTACTTCCTTACTGTTCTTTAGGCAAATAAATGTTGATTATTTTCAGATGCTAAAGTTGAGCTTCAGAATCATGTCAACATTCCTTTCAATAATTCAGTCTTTTTAAAATGAAAGCAACATTAAGAAATAGCTCCATAGTATTCCATGGTGTATGGGTATCATATTTTCTTTATCCAATCTGTCATTGGTGGTCATTTAGGTTGATTCCATGTCTGCTATTGTGTACAGTGCTGCAGTGAACATTCATGTGCTGTGTCTTTATGGTAGAATAGTTTATATTCTCACTTTCAAGTAAGTGGGAGCTAAATGATGAGAACCCATGGACACAAAGAAGGACACAGACAATAGGACCTACTTGAGGGTGGAGGGTGGGAGGAGGGAAGAGAAGCAGAAAAAATAACTATTGGGTACTAAGCGCAATACCTGGTAATACCTGGGTGATGAAATAATCTGTACAAAAAAACCCCATGACACAAGTACACCTATATAACAATCATGCATATATACTCCTGAACCTAAAAAAGGGTAAAAAAAAAATAAAAAGAAACAGCTCCAAATACAGTCATGCTGCAGAGTGTCCTGTTGTCTATGGGAAATTATACCTGCATGAAGTTCACATAATAGATACATCAAATCAATCTGTTAATTGTTTGATCAGTCTAGGACATAGCCATATATGGCACTTTAAATTTTGATTAGTTTTTTCTATCTTTTCATACTATGAATTTGAGAAGGTGAAATGATTGAGGTGGAGTGGAGAAGAGGTCAAAATTAAAAGAAGTCAAAGAGGGCGAAGCTAAAAGACTGAAGCATTTCTCAAATTTAATATGTTTCTTTTCCAAATCAGGGAGTCTTAGAGTTCCTTTTGTATAAATTGGATTTTATTGTCATGTATAATCTGATGGTTTTGTTGCCTAGCCCTTTCCTTGTACAACTGTCAATTTAATCATTATCTCATTATGCTTTATGAAGTTTCCACTCTTTTTTTTTCAAACTACTGTGACTTAATAATTATCCATATTGTGTGTGTGTGTGTATAAAACTGTAGAAATATTTTAATGATATTTTCTTTGGTACCAATTGACTACAAATATCTTCACGCATCAGAGTATTTTTAAAAACACATTTTAATAATATTAATGAGTTACCTTAGACTTTGAAATCTGACACTTTGAATCTGAAACTTTATCTCTGTATGGTAAAATTAGTTGATATAGGTATAGTACTTAGAAAAGTAACCTTAAGTCCTGCTAAGTGTTACGTAAATGTGTACTATAACCATTTTTTAATTATTTTTCAACGTTTTATTTTGAAATAACTTTAGACTCATGGAAAAGTTGCAGAAACAGAGAGTACCCATATACCCTCTACTTAATTTGTCCTAATGTTAACATCTTGTATAACTAGGATACAATTATTGAAACTAGGGGAGATATAATTACCAATAGAAAGTCAATGGCTTTTGGTGTTAAAACACAAGCTATCTCATTCCACCTCATTGACTGTATAGTTTTAATATCTCCTATATATTGTGTGTCCAAGCTTCTCATCTTCAAATTAGAAACTGGAGTGGCATTTCTTTGTTTACTTGGACCCCAACTAGATAATAGCTGCAATGTAATTAACTCTTTAGACAGACAACTTAACATATGACCTTACTTTCTAAAAGTTAGGCAAATAAAGCAGGACACAGAAAAGCCTGAGCCCAATTTAATTGCTTTTATTTGACTATTTCCTAAACTACATATTAGGCTGTTTTAGATAACTGTATACTGACTATATTTTCTACCATATTAATCAAGCATCTATTATTATAGGCCAGTCTGATAATAGAAAAAATATAAGATTTAATCTTCCCTCTTAATGAGACTACAGCCTAGTGGATTGTCAAATGATTTCTCAAGATTGATTTGTGTGTAGGGTCAAATGTGAACCTGTCCATGGATCACAGGCGAGAACGAAGTACCCTCATCTGCATTGTGCAGATACAGAAACAGTCTGAAAACAAATACTTTTTCAATGTTCATATATTGAATGGAAAACCTCGTGTCTCCAATAAGCATCTCACTTGGACATTCGTTAACTATATAGCTGAAAAAGTTACTTTACATAAATCAAATAGCTTTAAGACTATGTTTTATTCCCACAATCCTTTTAGAGGGACATGAGTGAGAATCATCATGCAGGACTTGCTTAATGTGAACTAAGATAATAAATCAAAATTAAAACAATTGATGGGACACTGAAATTTATTAAAATGAATCTATGTATAAGATTATAGAGAAAATGTCATTAAAGTAAATAGCAAAGTTTGTTGCAAAAGAAAAAAAAATGGTAGGAAATCAACCAGTAATTTTCTTGCAAGTTTTTTTTTTCTCATCATTTTAATAGCCCTGTTGAGTGAAATGTTTTTATTCTCCATCTGGAATAGGACTTGTAAAAGCATGTAAATGTATATGGTGTTAATTGAAGCTTATATTTTTGAAGATATAGATAAGTATGTTTAGGGTGGAGTAAAAAGTGTAGTTGAATTTTTGCTAATAACAGGTTATGATCTTAAAGAATATATGTTATAAACGAAAGGCTTGCTTCTGTGGAATATCAGAGTAAAACAGGAGAAAGACTTATCACAGGATTGAAGAAAGACTTGGCGCTTGGCTGGGATCAATTTCTGATATAATGAATGATTTTAAAATTTTTAATTAAGAATGAGAAAAGTGTAATTTTATTTTGTAACTAATGTCAGATGAAAAGGAAAATGAAATCAATATCAGAATATTAAGAATTTAGGGCATAAGACACTGATAATATATTAACATTGATACAAAAAAACAAATAACACATTGATTATCTGCTTCCAAAAAATAAATAAAAGCTAAATGATCTCTGGAAGATAGATATAAATGGGGCTCTTACAACCAAAATAAAACACAGCAAGCACACTAAAAAACACAATAAATCATCACCAACCTGAACTTGATAAAAGTCACAAGTTTTTTATGCATACATTCTCAGTTAGTGTAAGCGAATTAATTGTTTTCTCAAGGTATCTTAATAACTTTTATCCTCATGTTTCACTCCTCGAACATTGAAAGGGTTTGGTCAAATACAAAGTCAAAGCTGATGAACTGAGAAGCAATGACATACACTCAGCTGAAGGAGAATTTTATATCGGCTGCAAGTAATCTTAGAAATTTTGTTATTAAACAGAGCCAAAAAGCCAGCATTATAGAATCCTCATTTTGGGGGTTATTTTTCTCATTTCAATTAATTATCTAAAAGCACAATCAACTGAACAGTCTTCCTTTGGAAATCCTTTCTCTATGGCAATGCACCACAAAGCAGACAGTTTAACTAGATAATTTTATTAGGATGCAATTAACACTTGGAGCCCAAAAAAGCATCCAACCCATCTTTTTATTTAGATCAAGTGAAGAAACGCCACATAATGTTTCCATAGCAAGGTTCTGACAGCCAGAGAAGCGTTGACAGGCACTGTCTTCTGGTGACAAGAAATTACAGTATAAAGATATATTTAAAATCCCTATGTTTGAATGAAATTAAATTTTGTTGTACAAAAATCCACAGCCCGTCCCTTTCAAAAACAGCTAAAAAAGCTGTGGGTCTTTTACCCAAAATTTTAGAAGTGAATATAAAGGAAAAAGGCTTCTTTATAAGTTCTCTGTAAAATATTGCTCTGAAAGTGTTCGTGAGACTAAGAATCACATTTTAGATATAAATGACAGTCTGTTTTGTTATAACTGCACTAATTTTGCTTTAGATTTGAGGTTTGAATTTATCCTTCTGAATAGTCCAGAAATTGATAAAGCAGAAATTCAAAATTAATTTGGTAAGACCAAACAGTTTGGATATGTAGATAATTCAGTTAATACAAACATAACACACAATGCATTCTTTATCAGCTTTAAAAAAAGTTTTATTTGGTAAAATGTGTTCTATATCTATTGAAGGCATTTTTTTTTTATCTATTCTCCATAAAGGAGGTAAAGGGACTGAGAATAAATCAATGGGCCTCATGGATAAATGTAGATGGAAACCATAAAAATTTAGTAGAGTTAAAAATATTCACTATTCTTTGATTCATGTGAAATATTCTAAAACTTCCAGTCATATTGCCTATGCTATGGTTAAATGATAGTATTCACTCTAAAATTCCTATTGAAACCCAATTCCCAGTGCAACAATATTAAGAGGCATGGCCTTTGGAGGAAGTGGTTATGTCATGAGGGCTTCCCCCCATCTTGGAAGCAGAGAGAGCAGCCTTCACGAGACAAGAAACATAATAGCACCCTGATGTTGAACTTCCCAGCCTTCAGAAATGTGAGAAATAAATTTCTATTATTTATTTTGATACTTTGTGAAAGCAGCACGGATGGCAACAGAAATTGGTACTGAGAAGTGAGAGTATTGCTGTGACAAATACCTGAAAATGTACAAGCATCTTTACAACTGGGTAATGAGTAGAGGCTGGAACAGTTTTGAAGAGAATGCTGAAAAAAGCCTTCAGAAAAAGCCACAAAAAAAGCCTGCATTGCCATGTACGAAGCATTAAAGAAAATTCTGGTGAGGGCTTAAAAGAGAGCTGTAGAGAAAGCATTAGTCTTAGAGATTATAGATGTAGTCATTAACAGAAACTTGGTAGAAGTATGAAGAGTAAAAGCCATTCTGGTGAGGTCTTAGACAGAAATATGAAATATCTTATTGGAAATTGGAGGGTCCCAGGGTACCCATGGGAACTTGGGGATCACTTGCCATGGCTGCCTCAAGTCTCTTTCAATGTAGCTCTACTTGGCCGCCACGGTTGTGGCTCAAGAATGCCCAAATGTGACTCAGGCCTCTATTCCAGAAGGTACAAGCAGTAAGTCTTGTTGGCATCCACAAGGTGCCAACTCTGCAGGTGTGCAGAGTGCAAGAGTTGTGGGGGCATGACTTTTTCCACCAGGATTTTGAAAGTTACTCAGTGAGCCTCAAGGTCCAGGCAGAGATCTGTCACAAAAGTGGGGCAACCTTATAGTGTTCCCCCAGGACAATGTCTAGCAGAGCCATGGTTGGGGCCACTGCAGAGAGCCTCAACTATGGCAATGCTTAGTGGAACCACGGTGTCAAGGTTTTCCGTAAGAACCCTGACCTGTAAGGTCCCCAATGTGCCATGCCAGCCTTGGTGAGCTGCGGGCACCTGACTCCAACTCCTGACATATGTGCAGTGGCTGTATCCAACAAATCCATGAGAGCAGGGCCACTAGGAGCCTTGGGTTTCCAACCCATGCCTCAGTCTGTCTGGAAGATTAGACATAGGGATGAAGATTATTCTCAAGCATTAAGACAAGATTTAATGTTGCTTTCTCTGTTGGGCTTTGAACTTACTTGGTACCTGTTGCCCTTTGCTTCTTGCCTATTTCTCTCTCTCTCTTTTTTTGGTATGGTAGTGTTGAACATGTTTAGAAAATGTATGTCATTTGATCACAGTTAGACAGCTAGTAATTGACTTGACCATAGTTTTGTGTCTGATGAAGTCTTCACACATGCACACATGTACACATGTACACACACACACACACACACACACACAGAGTCTGCACAACTGTCCTTCATTATTTGTGGTTTCACTTTTCATGGTTTCAGTTACCTGAGGTTAACTGTGGTCCAAAAATGTTACATAGAAAATTCTAGAAATAAAAAATTTGTAGGTTATAAATTGCACACAATTCTGAGTAGCATGATTCAATCCTGTAGCATCCTGTTCATCCTGCTCAAAATTATTCCTTTGTCCAGCGTATCCAGGTTGTCTACAGTACTTGCCTATTAGTCACTTAGGAGCCATCTCGGTTATCAAATCAACTATCCCAATATCACAGCCCCTGTGTTCGAGTAACCCTTATTTTACTTAATTTTCATATTTTATTATTAGTGATTGTTAAACTTTTACTCTGCCTAACTTATAAATTACACTTTATCATAGGTTTATATGTATAGGAAAAATATAGGATGTATAGGATTCAGTACTATTTGCAGTTTCAGGCATCAACTAAGGGTTTTGGAATTTATTCCTCCCAAATAAGTGGGGACTACTTTATATTCTGAAACATGCATTGGGAAATGAGTAAAGTAACTGGCATTCAATGACAATCAAAGAACAAATTGTCTATTATCTTCTCCTATCTTCCCTTTCAATTCTTCTCAGCTTTGCTTTCACCTTATTCTCCAAATACATGAATAATACATTGTAAGGTGTTAAATGAAAAATATTACTGACAATGATGTCCAGTATGGGTCAATATGAACATAAATCCACAGATATGCAGAATACATGCTTCATTCTTTCTTCCTAACAATTATGAACCAAAAAGCATACATAATTTTCTGGTGAACATGAAGCAGTACATATGGGAGCATCATGTATTCTCTCATTTGTCCTGTCAAAAATATGAATTAGGGCTAAGGATAAAAGTAGGCCTCAGAGAAAATGCAAAGAACATGACAAACATGCTCCCTATGCTCACAGGTTCCTACTATTATAACATTTGTAAAGTGCACCAGTTATTACACATGTAGCATAACAAAAACGGAAGTAAAAAATCTCCAGGAGGAACATAAGCATCTCAGCTTCTCTGGGAATACAGGGAGCACTTCCCTGAAGAAAGGAGGATTGAAATTCAAAATTTTAGAATAATAAAGAGCATTACAAGAGAAGCATGGAAGGAAGAGTGTGCCAGACAAAAAAGACAGCTTGGGGAGTAAATGGAGGAGTTAATAAAAGAAGGCAACTGCAGCCTAGGTAGCTCCAGGAGAATGGCAAGCCATACAACATTAGAGGAAGGCCAGAACCAAGCAATACCATTTTTTTAACTATGCAAATATTTTGAGAATGGGAGTCCACCGAAAGCTTGTAAGCAGTGATTTGAACGACTGATTCATACTCCGTTTGCTGAATACAGACAGGAGACAAGCAAGGATGGAAACAGGGAGATCATTTAGATTGATACTGACACTCCCAACCAGAAAAGGTGATACTTGGAACTATAGCAAGACAATGTTAAAGGAGGCTGTAGAAGATGGCTCAGATATGATTACATTACTGAAGATGAGAAGAGGGAATAGATGTGGGTCACTCTCAAGATTCTGACTGCAGTGATTAGGTAGATTGTGGTGAAACTTATTGAATGTGGGAATGCTGGAGGAGGAGGAGTTTTGTGAAATGGTTAAGTACACTTTATGATATATATGTGAGTCTTTTAGAAGGTGATTAGTGGAGCCCTTATGGATTAGATTAAAGCCCTTATTAAAGGGCTCAAGAGGGTGAATTCACTTTTCTATTTGCCTTTCTGTCCTTTCTACAGTGTAAGGATACAGTGTTCATCACCCTAGGAAGATGCAGCGCCAAGGTATGATCTTAGAAGCAGAGAGCAGTCCTCACCAGACACCAAATCTGCCTGGGCCTTGATTTGGACTTCCCAGCCTCCAGAACTGAGATAAATAAATTTTGTTGTTTATATATCATCACTCTCCAGTATTTTGTGACAGCAGCATGAATGGAATGAATTTGGAATTTATCCAAATTTGTTAGAATGATATTTCACAGCTGTCAGTCACAGTTATGGATACAGACAATTGGCTAAGCACTGGAAGTCTGCCAGCTCATACAGTACCCTTATATTCCCGGTGAAGTAAGAGAGATGATAAATCTAAACATAAATTATTACTTTATATGTGCCTGATAAATTCATAAAGCATTCTTTGGTAAATTCCATGTGAGTCTCACTCCAAGGATAGGCACCTTTTTTATGGGATCTCTTTGGCTCAAAAGAGTTGTATTATAGGTATACTTTCCTACTACGGAGAAACCTCTAAAGATCAATTATCTTTCGTATTCAAAAATTGTTCTAATGATAATGCAGATATGACGGGCTGTTGGCAAGGCATTTTGTTTATTGTTGGCTCGTATATACTTCTGTGGTGGGAGTACTTTCTGGAAGTGCTCAGATTTCCCCTTTTTAAGAGTAGCTCTAACTGACCCAGCATGGGAAACAGAAGAGTATTCTGACATTAGTTTTCCCAGAACAAAGTGAAATCAGCACTGTGTTAGATAGAGCCTAAGGGAATGACCCAAGGGCAGATCTCATGGAAGCCCTGACAGGACCTATGCCATCAGCTTCAGATGCTGCCTTTGATAATCTGATGAATGTTATGAAGGTGTGTAGTTTTTCACATTTTCTAGATACAGCATTATTTATAAGCTGATAACTGTTGTTTAGACATTGACTGTTCAAAATTACATGTTATCAAGTAAATTGCTTTTTTCTTTTTTAATAATGGTTCTCAATGCTGGCTGTGCATGAGAACCATTGAAAGAATTGCTTAAAATATACAGGTATCCAGAAGTCATCTCTGAAAAGTGTAGCTCAGTGTGACTGGGGTAAGGTGTGTGTGGTGGTTAATATTCAGTGTCAACTTGATTGGATTGAAAGATGTAAAGTAGAACAATACTTTACCCAATACTGGGTATGTCCATGAGGCTGTTGCCTAAGGAGATTAACATTGGAGTCAGTGGACTGAGAGAGGCAGACCCACCCTCAATATGGGTAGGCACATCTAATCAACAACTGTCAGCATGCCTAGAATAAAGCAAGCAGAAGAAGGTGGAATGACGTGACTTACTGAGACTTCAGGCCTTCATCTTTCTCCCGTGCTGGATGCTTCCTGCCCTAGAACATCAGACTCCAAATTCTTCAGCTTTTGGACTCTTGGACTTACATCCAGTGGTTTGCCAGGTGCTCTCAGGCCTTTGGTCACAGACTGAAGGCTGCATTGTTGCCTTCCCTACTTTTGAAGTTTTGGTAGTCAGACTGACTTTCTTGCTCCTCAGCTTGCAGATGGCCTATCTTGGGACTCGGTAGTCCAAGAAGTGTAAGGAACGAAAGGCCCAGGACTATGTATTTTTCGTGTTTCACAAGAGTTTCAGATGCTGCCTGGGAGTGTATTCATATTTCTGACTGAGAGTCACTAAATGCTACCAAAGCACTTGGCTAATATCTCGTGATAGTTTCTTGGTGGCTGTATCAGTGGCAGAAGTCCTCAGGAGAACGATCTTTTTACACATTTCAAGACTGCAGAGAAATACTTCCAATACTGAAAATAAAAGTAACTTTTGGCTATAAAAATGGCTCAAACCCATCCCTTTGAGGCAAGGTAATAAATCTCTATGAATTTGTCCCTGAGGAAATACTTTCATTTTCAGAGCACTTTGCCATTTTTATAATGGGGGAAAGAGCAATAAAATGCTTGTGGCAAAACAGCAATTCAGAGCTGTACTTACTGACTTCTTGTGAATGAAAGTTGACGGTGTCGGTGAAAATTGTCCCTCCCCTTTGGACACCAAAGAAGGAATAATGTTTTCATATTCTTTTCTATTAAGTGCAGTAAAGATATTTCAGCTTTGGGAAAGAGAAATATGCAGTCTTAATATATTCATGTACCTATTTTGTCATTTTAATAGACTAATGACAAAGTTTATATTTAGTGAGAAAATCCCTTCCCTTTTTTGTCATTCCTAAGGATGTTGGGTATGAATCCTTCATCACATGGAAACTCAAGTAATACTGATTCACTTCTAAGAGATAATATCTACATAATTTTTAGATACACTTGTAACTGTGAACAAGTTATTTAAACTCCATCTCAGCTTCCTTATTTGGGAAACTAGGGTATTTGGTGATATTTTCAAATTGTAGGTAACATTTAGCATGCTGTATTCCAGGGTGCAGCAAACTACAGCCCCCAGACCATAGCCACTGACCATCTTCTTTCTTGTAAATAAAAAGTTTTATTGAAAGCCACACTCATTCATTGATACATTGTTTATAGCTGACTTTGCTTTACAACAGCAGGGCATAGTAGTTGTGACAGAGACCTTAGGACCCACAAAGTCTGAAATATTTGTGATATAGTCCTTAGAAAAAGTTTGCCAAGTCTCATTTTATACTGTTGGTTACATTACATCCAATTGAAAATTGCTTTAACTGTAATGGATTAATTATTTCACATATCCAGCTATAGGTGGTTCCTTAAATGATGGTTAGTAATTAAGGAGGCTGGACTTTCTTTTAATTCTTACGTACATAGGGTTGACCTTGCATTCATTTCCCACATCCTTCTCTGAGATTCTTCAAGTCACGTGCCTTCTAGTGCTGCCCATAAACCGGAAAGCCTCCTTGGAGTCATTTAAGCTTCAAACGGTGAACTTGCCTCACCCAAAGGATATTCCCTTAGTAATGAAAAGGTAAGCAAACAAGTCATATTTATACTTTTTTTCATAAAACAAATGAGGTCTGAATATTTCAAAATTCTAATATTGTTTCTAAAAGTTTGTAGAACACTTACCATGATTTTATTCAAAAATAAATTTTTGCATCTCAGGCAGCCAAGGATATTTTCCTGGTTTCTCCTTGGGTCAAGATAAGTTTTACTTATTTTTCTACTTTCATTGCATTAATTTAGGAAAGAAAGAGTATTTTATTAACAAATAGTTGTTTGGTTATATGATTTTCTCTTTGAAACTGACATAATTTTTCAGGTTAATTTTCATGAATGATGTAAGTAAATTAAAACTAAGATTCTGCCCAAAGCTGCCATAAGTAGAAAGTACTTTGAAATCAAAAACAATTACTTATCTATGGCTGATAACAGATTTTATTAGATTACTCCAAATATTTTATGTTAGAATTGAGAAAGATTAACAAATGCACACTTTCAGCAAGAAAGTAAAGCAAATTATATTTCCAAATGTAAAATTTTATGTCTACATCTATTTTGATAAAGTAAATTAAATAGAAATATCATATTATTAAACTTGTTGATTGGCATAAACAGTGTATCCTTTAGCTTTACTCAACTTAAATTCTAATAGATAGAATACAATAATTTCATGATATCTCATACAACAATTTCTCTATACAAATGTGTTGATATATAAATACATATTTAAATAATATTTATATACAGTCTTTATCTGTATATATTTTGGCTGAATGTCTTCGATTAATAGATCAATCTTTAAGAACCAACTAAAGACCAATGAACTGAATTAATAAAATATGCATATATACATAATTAGGAGAACCATGGCCTACTGGTTAAGAGCAAGGGCTTTGAAGATATATTTCACATCTATTTGTTAGCCATGCAGTCTTCTAAATTTCAGTTCTTTTATCTGCAAAATTGGATAATAAAAGTGACTATATTCAGTTGTTTTAATAATTGCAAGCATAAATGTGTATAAAGCACTTCGAATGATACCTAGCATATAGTAGGTATTCCATAAAAGTAGATTAATATCACTGTCTTTAATAGTATTAATATCATCATTATTATAATTCCATGTTGAAGAAGCAAAGAATAAAACAAGTACTAGCCAGACTTCGAGGTAACAGAAACTATAAAATGTTTGTTAAAAAGCATAAAACTGTAAGATAAATAATGTGATTAAAAATGGGCAAGAAATCTGAGTGGAAAGTTCTCAAAAGAAGAAGTACAAACAGCAAACAGGCATATGACAACGTGTTCAGCATCATCGATCATCAGAGAAATGCAAATCAAAACTATAGTGAGAGATCATCTCACTCCAGTTAAAGTAGCTTTTGTCTAAAAAAACAGGCAACAACAAATGCTGGCAAAGGTGTGGAGAAAAAGGAACATTTGTACCCTGTTGGTGGGAATGTAAATTAGTACAGCCACTGTGGAGAACAATCTGGCGGCTCCTCAAATAACTAAAAATAGAGTTACTATATGACCTGCAATCCCACTGCTAGATATATACGTAAAATAAAAAAAAAATCAGTATATTGAAGAAATAGCGGCACTCCTATGTGTACTGCAGCATTATTCACAATAGCCAAGATTTGGAATCAACCTAAGTGTTCATCAACAGAGGAAAGGGTAAAAACAATGTGGTACCTATACACAATGGAGTACTATTCAGCCATAAAAAAGAGTAAGATCCTGTCATTTGAGACATGGATGGAACTGGAGGACATTATGTTTGATGAAATAAGCCAGCCACAGAAACACAAACTTTGCATGTTCTCACTTATTTGTGGGAACTAAAAATTAAAACAACTGAACTCATGGAGATAAAGAGTAGAATGATGGTTACCAGAAGCTGGAAAGGGTAATGGGGATGGGGGGCGGTAGGAATGGTTAATGGGTACAAAATTACAGTCAGATAGAATGAATAAGATCTAGTACTTGATAGCACAACACAGTTACTACAGTCACCAATAATTTATTGTATATTTTAAAATGAAAATAGTGTAATTGGATAGTTTGTAACACAGAGAAAGGATAAATGCTCGAGGTGATGGATACCTTATTTTCCCTGATGTGATTACTATGCATTGTATGCCTGTATCAAAATATTTCATGTACCCCATGTATAAATATATACACTTACAATGTACCCACTGAAATTTTATACACCTACTAATATATACACCTACTCTGTACCCACAAAAATTTCAAAAACCCTAAAAACCAATATAAGAAGCATATTTTTATGAAAACATAACATATTAATGCATCTTATTAGATGCAAGTATGTACTAGATGCAAGTATGTATTTACATATGTATTAATGTACTGGTATATTATATATTTGTGTATGTGTGTGTATATATGTGTATATATCTTATATATAATACCAGCATATTATTATAGTAGTACATACATAGATATATGTGTAATATACAAATACATATATATACAAGTTCACTATCATAACAGTACAAATGTTCTTTCTCTTTGCTTGAGGTCAATATGTAATAAAAACACAAAGATGAATTTACCAGCTAAATAGATAGAGCCGTGGATAGAATTACCGTGAACACAGCACAAGGAGATAGCAATAAAAAAGAGTGGGTAAGAGATATGGGGAATAAAGTGAGATTTAGCATGTCTAGTATGATTTCCATTATAAGTAGATAGGGAGAGTTAGGGTAATGTGATGGAGAGAAATAATTCGAAAAAAAGACTGAGATGATGAATGAATGAAAGACTGAAATAATTAAATAAAATGAATCTTCTATTCAATAATTATACCAACTGTGATAAAAAGTTAAGACATACAAAGGAATATATTAAAGAACCTAAATTGAATAGTGGTACAAGTAACAGCATAGATACATTGCCAAAGCCTGCTGTTGAGCTAAAATAACATGATGTGTCCAAAGGGTTTGTGTAATGTTGACTCTATTTAGATAAAGTTAAAACCATAGAAAACAATTTTTTTGAATATAAACAATAAATAAAAGAAAAAACTCCATCTTTGTTCATACTGTGTATGAATATGAATGTGTGATGAAAGTTTAAAACAATTTTGGAAATAATACACAATGGATTTAGTAAGGTTGAAACCAATATGAGATTTAAACTGTATCTCAAATATTTTGTCTTTAAATAAATTATTAAAAAAAACTGAGGCCAATATAGTAAAATATTGACATCTGCTAATTGATAGTGTTTGGTGCATAAGAGTGTGTTATATTCTTTTCTATACATTTAAAGTATTTCACATTTAAAAAAATGTCGAGCTCTGAGAAGATTTAGGATTTTAAAAATGATCATTCTTAAGAAAAAAATCCTGTGAGAAATTCATCATTAATCAGGTGATTAACTCAGAACTTTGGAAACAAGAATTTTTTTTTCTTTTCAGAAGACCCAAACAAACTGGACTATAAGGAATGTATCTGATCTCTCAGAAAATTAAGGAGCTATGTCCGTCTTGCCAGGAACTGAAACTGGTTCCAGAAAGTCTAAGAATTTCGGTGCTGATACATACTCCACTAAGGGTCATTTCAAGACATATTTATAAACCATACGCTCCAAATTCAACCTTTACCAGCACAATTATAAAATGATTTAATGTGAGGAGTCTATTAATAGTTTTCTTAGGAATTAAAAATGTCTTCACTGAAAACACAAATGTTAAAGTTGAAGCAATGAAAACAACCACATGCAAACTAAATGATGCAAAATCATGAAAATGTCCTTTCTCTATGCTTCAGGTCAGTCATTTGTTTTTACAAGAACAGGACAAAAAATGGGAGCTCCTATAATAACAGGACACAAATGGGCACTCCTTTTGTGTAGGTAATGATTGCACTATGTTTTTAGTTTGCAATGCAGTTAAGGTTCAATGATAAAAGCAATTTTACAGGGGTAAGGGTTATATAGAATATCACAGACAGGCGAGGCAGGTCTCTTCTGCTTTCATTCCTCTGTGTTGCTGTTGTGCTGATACAGCAGGACCTTTCTAGAAGCAGGGGGAGTGAGAACTGCACTTCTAGTGGTGTCATCCTTCGGTCAGGATATTAGGCTAAGGTCCCTTCTTGATTCTGGTGACTGATGGAAGGAGGTTATCGAGTTTTAAAAATCTTTCCGCATTACAGCCAACACAGTCTGTTTGTTAGTAGCACGGTGTAAAATGTAGATGATGGAAATTAACTCTCTGCATCTTTGTTGTGTTCTTTTTTAAAATAGTTTTTACAATTATATCCACACATCTATATCCACTGAATAAAATTATAATGTACTCAAATATCTATACTTATATCTAAAAGTTACAATTACATCACTCAGGAAAACTTATTATTAGCATGCTGTTTACTTATATATTTACACATATTATTTTCAAAATACAAATTTACTCATATTTCACATGTAATTTTGTAATTTTTAAAATTATTTTGCCTAAAAATATATAGTTAATGACTTTCTAGATAAATACGTATTTATCAGTTTTTAACTGCTTACTACCATTTCCGTTTCCATTGTATTGTAAGGTTTGGGGGCTCTGAACAGTTTTGTACACATATTCTGCATGAGGAATAATGTAGAATTGTAGCATCCTATGAAAGAAGCCTGTGAAGAAATAAAGCAAAGTACTCCTCAGTGACAGAACTTCTTTACTCTGACCTTGAGGAACTGATCTGAGAACCAAATTTCAATCATATTCTTTTTTAGAAAATATTACTCCAAACTTATTCCTGTACAAATGAATCCCAAACAAAAGTTACCAGTTTTAAATTAATAAGACAATGTTATGCAGCTATATTTTCTATAGCCCATAAATGCATGGCAATTGGAAGAATGGGCTCTTTAATTAAAAAGATGACAATGATGATAATCAGTATTATTATCATTATGAGAAATACTGCTACTACCATTTAAAATACTAAGCCTGAGTTAACAGACTGTGAACTTAGTGAAATTAGTATTGAAATGACATGTTGTGAATTTTACTCAAATATATGAACTTAATGCCTTCATTACACAATCTTTGTTGATGTTATTAACAAATAATATAATCAAAAGATTACATTTAAGATGGTTGACTATTTATGGCTATGAATATTTTGTGAAAAATAACAAATATCTCTTACAGAGCTACTTCTCCCATATGCCATTATTCCTAGTATTGGGGTCATGTAAATAGCTACAAAACTTCAGCATTGTAGCATGAATATGTTATAGAAATAAAAATTAGTGCTAAGTATATTTTCCCTAACTCTTGCAGAATTTCTCTATCTATCTATCTATCTATCTATCCATCTATCATCTATCTATCTTAGATAATATTTAACTCGCTGAATGTATGTATTTTTTTACATGTCAGATGAAGACTTCCTGATGTTATCAGATTGCTCTAAAAGCTGATACTCACGAGTTGTCTTAAGGAAGATCTTCTGAGGCAAGATGTGAGGGTTACTGAAGAGGAATTTTATTAATAATTACTTTTATTAAAAGAATAAACAAAAGCAGTGCTATCATAAGGTACTTTTTTCCTTGCTATTGAAGCCATGCAAGAGTGATGTGAGGAATAAAGGCTGTTGAGCAATCTTCACCCAAGTAGGAATGAGGGCCCAGATCAACAGTGTTCTGGAGAATACCATACTCTTATGTACTGCATTTTCAATTACAATATATGGTATAGCTGGAAAGACAACATAATTATTAATTACAAAATCCTCTTCCCCAGGCTTTCAGAAATAAAACATGCACTATAGGGAGTATGCTTATGGATTCTGATCCAGTATTCATGAAGATCAGCTACTCTAAACCTAAAATGAATGAGAAAAAAAAGAAATATTAGCTCTGTAGTTATAAATCAGCCTTAACATAAATTCCTGTCTCACTAAAAGGTCGAAATACTTCTTATGAAAGTTGATAATCAAACAATTTGCGATGAGTTGTTCCTGGTTTAAAGTTTTACCACTTGAAAATGAAACATGCTTAAAATCAAGCAACTATGGAATTTAAAAATTGTTTGGAGTTTCTAGTGATTTCAGTAATGTTTATTGAGCACCTACTATATGCTAGGTGCTGTTTTAGGTATTGGAGACACTGTAGTGAACACGAAAAAAAAATGCAGACCCTATTCTCTTGGAGCTAGCATTGAAGATAGAGTTAAAATAAATTTTAAAAATTAAAGAAATAAAAATACAATAAGTGCTGTGAAAAAGAATAAGTTATATAAGAGAAAATGAAGAAAGAATGGTACATAATATGTGGTTGATAACTATTTTCTGAGATAGTATACATAAATGATCTCAGCTAAGATCCAAAGGCGAAAACAGTAGGCCTGTAGTTATCTGGGGAAGTATATTTCATACAAATGAAATGGGCTACACCAACTCTGAGGGAGGAGTCAGCTTAGCAAGTTTGAGAAAAAAAAAAAAAAGCTGGTATGCCCAGGGATGAGGTCAGAGTAGATAAGGGAGTATGAAGCCTATATGCTATATACAAAAGCTCAGATTTTATTTTTACAGAAAGAGGAAGGCTCTGAGGATTTTTAAGTAAGAGAGAAACACCATCTGATTCATGTTTTGAGTAGATGACACTGGCCACGCGAGGTAAGTAAAATCAGAGGGAACACAAGGGAGCTGATATCACAAGCCTCTGGTAGAAAATGAGGTTCAGAATTGGAAACAACGTTCACATGGGGCCTTACAATTCATTTTAAAAACTTTTTACTTTCAGTCTAATGAAACTGAAAGCTATTGGAAAGTTTTTAAGAGAGGAACTATAGGTCGGGCCAGGTGACTCAGGCCTGTAATCCTTGCACTTTGGGAGGCGGAGGTGGGTGGATTGCCTGAGCTCAGGAGTTCGAGACTAGCCTGGGCAACACAGTGAAACCCTGTTTCTACTGAAAATACAAAAAAATTAGCTGGGCTTGGTGGCGTGTGCCTGTAATCCTGGCTACTTGGGAGGCTGAGACAGGAGAATCGCTTGAACCTGGGAGGCAGAGGTTGCAGTGAGCCGAGATCGCGCCGCTACACTCCAGCCTGGGTGACAGAGTGAAACTCCATCTCAAAATAAAAAAAGAGGAACTATAGATTTTGTGGTTTTTAAAGGCTCACTGCCATGTGGAGAGTAGGCTGAAGGGGCTACACAGGGAGACCTGCCAGGAAGCTACTGCAGCATGCAGGTGAAAGTGGAGGTAAAAATGGGGGTACTTAGAAGCCACTTGATTCCATGTATATTTTGGAATTAGAGACAAGAGGATTGCCTGAGAAATTAGATGGAAGACGTAAAAACTAGAGGTGTGTCAAGAATGACTTCTAGGTTACCTGACTTGGGCAACTGGAAGGGTGGAATAATCATCAACAGAAAGGAGAAAGGTCATGGGTAAAGCAGGTTTGTGTAGAATGTTAGGAGTTACATTTTATTTGTGTTTAAGACATGTGCCTTAATTACCATGTGCATGGTGTTTTGCTCATGAAATTGACGAATAAGAGAAAATAGTTCGAGTAGGCTAGTTATGGCCCTGCGTCATATTGCTTTACTGGGTTTAGTATAATAAAATAGAGCAGATTTCACCGTAAATATAGAGCCTCTTCCATGATTGTAATCAGTTGCCTCAATATTGATTATATTTAGTTTCTCATGTCAAAGATGTGTATATATGCATCCTGAGTGATGTAGTAACTTGATTTCTAAAATCCTGAAATTTAATAGCCATAGCCTGTGAAATAAAATTTATATCTACCAATGTTGGGCATATGGTGAATATAGCGAAATTAGTCATTTATTCACTATCAATGTATATGCAAAATCACATTACAATTTTCTCTATGACATCTAATGAATGACCTTAATATTCTAAGGCATTTCATTGTGTGCATAGCATTGACTTTCTATTTTATATATTTTTATATATTCAAACAATATAAGTAGTTTGAATGCAGATAATGATTTTCACTGGGGAAGGGAATTTTCAAATATGAATAAGTGCTTTAAAGGAATGAAATTAAAATCTTTGGAATCAATGCATCAAGGAATGAAATTAAAATATTGATTTGCCTTAGATTTGCAAGTTGAGCTTCAATCATTATTCTTGAAACAAATCATTCACAGTATGATTTATCATTATAGTGATATACTCTGTCAGTATTGTTCCCCTTACTCTGCCATAAAATATTTCTACACAGACCTAATGCTTGTTAAATTATACATGAATATTCCTTTTGACTTCCTGTTTTATTAGATATGGAGATGATTCAATTATAACATATTAGCTTGGAGCGAAGCAGCCATATGGTGCACATTCTACCTTGAGATAAGTAATTCTGGCCAACATGTTAATTTATGTTTTTCTACATATACTCTCTACTTAAAATCCATCTATTAGATAAACAAACTTCAAGTAACATATAGAAATCTATTGACTGGGTTAAGTTCAGTTCAGCCAAGTAAAATGTCAGAAAATTTAATTAAAGCTTATCTACAACAATGCTGTCAAGTGAAAAAAACTGGATCCCAGAACCTCACAAAACAGAAGTTCTGATGAGATTTGCGGTTCTTCTTTATTTTTTTTTTCATGACTTTTGGATATTCTAAACACAGTTTTCTGTGTCTTTTCTACAAAGATCAAGCACAGAATGGCATGATAAAAATGAAAGAGAATTAATAGTGATTACAACTTATGGATCTGAAAGGGTTCCATTCATTGTTTCAGCACACTTGATTTACGCACTTCAGAATGGAGAACATTGAGTAGGCATGGTCTGTATATTTCTATTTATGTTATGCTTATTGCCATGGATTAAACCTAAGAAGATCTTTAAGGTCACAAACATTTTATGACTTATATTACATCAGAGGGAGATAGAGAAAGTAAAATTATCTTCAAAAAGACAAAGGACAAAGCCTTCAATGCCATAGTTTTTCAATTTGCTCTGCTTATTCTCTCCAGGTTTATCTTCACAAGTTCATTTGAACTCTTTCCACCACATGATCTATGAACACTAGAATGTTTATCTTCACTACATAGAGGGGCACTATGTAATTACTGACTTGAAATAAAAGGGTTCCCCCCTTTTTTTGTTTTTTGTTTTTTGTTTTTTTTGAGACAAGGTCTCTGGGCTGGAGTGCAGTGGCCTAATCATGTCTCACTGCAGCCTCAAACTCTTGGTCTTAAGAAATCCTCCTGTCTCCTGAATAACTGGGAGTACAGGCAGGTACCATCACGTCTGGCTAATTTCTTATTGTATTTTTTGTAAAGACAGAGTCTCATGATGTCACCCAGGCTGGTCTCAAACTCCCGGACTCCCAAAGTGCTGGGATTACAGGTGTGAACCCCCAAGCGTGGCCAAGTTCTAATTTTTTAATGCTTTATTTTTGTTCAAGGTGGCCTTATATAAACCATGTGCTCCCTATAATCTTCTGATATTTCCCATTAATAAAAAAATATTTCAGCCCAGATTGTGATTTTATTCACTGTTATTTATGGAAAGTATTTCCTTCAACTTCCCCTCTTCTGTTTTACCTGATGAATTATTTGCTTTATTTTATTTACATGTGTTTTATCAGCTTGATGGAAGTATAGCAGATAAATAAAAATTGCATGTATTTATGAAGTACAATGTGATGTAGTGATAGATGTTTACACTGTGAAATAATTGGTACAATCAAACTTCTTAACATATTTATCACCTCACATAGTTACCTTTTCTGTGTGTGTGGTAACAATACTTAAGATCTACTCTATCAGCAAATTTCAAGTATATAAGACATTGTTACTATTCATGGTCATCATGCTGTACATTAGCTCTCCAAAACTTATTCCTCTTGTAACTACAACTTTGTACCATTGGATCACATCTCTTTATTTCTCTTAGCCCCAGAACGATGGTAACCACCCTTCGACTCTCTGTTTCTATGTTCTTTGTTCTGTGTCTATGTTGCTCATTTTAGTGTAGAAAAATGTTAACCTCTGTATTCAGAGAAAGAAAGAACTCTCAGAAATAATAAAAAACATAATCGAGTTTAAAGGAGAATAGTAGATATCAGACAGAAATAACTTAACATGATACATTTAGACAGCAAAATTTCTTATTTTCTATGGGAAAGAAATAATGGCCAGCATAATCTGATACCAGGGAAATTAGGACTAAAGGATGTCACATCCTTTAAAACTATGTGAAACTACGTTGAGAGTAAATGGATGTGTATTTGGAGATGGTAATGACTAACCATTACTGACATAGAAAGTTTTAGGATGCCATGAACTATCTAGGAACATAATAAGTTATTACTATTGGGCTAAAGGTAATGTTTGTTTATCTGCATTAATTTGTAAACTTGTTTAGGTCTTTATAATTAAAATATTGGTGTTATTTTATTATTATGCACATTTGTTACTTTCTTTTTATTGACAATTTTCTAAAGATTGCTCCAAATAACAGATTGCTTCATTGGGTGAACTCTCTATTTTTTTCCTGATTAATTTTACAAATGTTCCTTGATGGCTACAATCAAGGAATGTCTTCGCACATTATAAAAAGTTACTCCATTATTTTTCTTTTCTTTTTCCATCTGGATAAGAAAAATTACCTTATTCAGTCTCTGGTAAATTATTCCAAGAAAAGAAGCCCATATCTTCTGTTGGCTTATAGTTCTTGGTGTCATTATCACAGCTTTCCCCTTAATTTTAATTGTTAATTTGTATTTATTAAAAAATAAATTTATGATAATAAGGAGTACAAAGCAGGCAATCTTTGTAGCTAGCAATTTAGCTTTTACATTAATTTAAATTTATTAGGAAGGAAATATATGAAAATTAAGTTATAGAAACAAGCAGGAAATAAAAATCATACATGATTGCCCACCAAGAGAATACTACTCTTAACATTTCAGCACTTGTCTTACAGTAGCCTTTCTACATTTCTAATAACACATGTACACATATACACACCACACACAGAGAAAATAATGTTCTCAGGACACAAGCTGAAGAAGGCAAAATCTCTAGCTTTTATTGTTTTGCTGCCTCAGGTATTCACATTTTATTGGGCTTTCATTCTCCCTTGAGAGTGTAAAAATGTTAGATTTTGGTCTCTGTCATTCTGGGACCTTAGAAAATATAACAGACTGTTTTTGAACTATTCTTTAGGCACTCCATGACACTACATCCATCAATCCTAGATCATCACATGGTTGTTGAGGAGATTTTGGGGGGAAGTTTGTTCTAGATCTTAATTATTTCATGGACTCCCCTAAAAAAGAAAGATACACATCTCATTTGTGCTCAGATACTCAAACTCGTGTACCAGTTTCATAATCCCTTCTTCAACAGATGAAGTCTGCAGAAATGTGGGTCTGGGGAATGGGTACAGGGTATAGGGTACAGGACCTCTCAGTACATTCCCTTCTGCTTCCCAAACCAAGATGTTTTGGAAAATCTGATTTATGTGATAGCATACACTACCTCTTCATGTACACCATATGGCTTATCTTGGAACTTTGTAAGGCTTAAACGCTTAAATTAAAAAAAAAATCAGGTTCTTGCCACACAAAAACTTTTCCTCATAGCAATAGCTAGGAATTCCAAGCTTACCTAGAATTTAAATGTCATGAATTAGCTTCTTTTGCAGTAGTATGTGATAATTTATTATCCTTTCTCTGCAACATGTTAGCATGAACTCCCAGTTTTGTTGCTGATAAAGGATGTGAAATAGAATTAGATAACCAATAACTGAACTTTAAAAAATACTTCAAAATGTTATTCCTATACTTCATCTCTATATATTCCAAATATTTTAATTTATAAATGATCATCTGCAAATGGCCTTTTGTAACATGTTTTTATGAGTTACCTATGTATCATAAACATCTCTCTGAAAGACTTGAGAATGGCTACCTATCAATTATGTAAATGTAGATAATATATGTGTATAAATCATATTGGTCATTTGAAATTAGGCTTATACATCCATTGTGTTCCATTTAGGTTTTCATTACCACCTATAGCTTTAAACTCTTTTGATCTCTTTTATTTGGGTAAGTTTTTATAAAAAAAACTTTGAGTATAGTTTGTGTAATAATTATCACATTTTAATACTATGAGGCCAGCACTTTAAAAAAACTTTCTAAAACATTCTGAAATTATGTGAATGTGTATATAAGTAAACTTTTTGACTGGAACAACATATATTGTTTACTAAAATGGAGGAAATAAAGATAAATCATTAAAATAGTATCCCTCAATCAGATGGCTCACAATAACACTCAAATATGTTCTTGTTGATTTATACAATATTAAATTTTGCTACATTGCTGGGTTTTTGAAAAATGCATAATTTGTGACAGTTTTTAAACATAATTACATACAGTAAGCTCTCAAATTTTAAAGCATAATGAGAATATACTTATATGTGGTAATATGTAGTTTGTAGGCAACAGATTAATCTGTACATTTAAAACTTTGGATGTGAAATATTAAGTACAATTTTAGTTGTTTTCTTTATTAAAACCTGAGGATATGTATCTTTAGTGATTCTAGTTGAACTAAATCTAAGCAGTTATTTCAATGGTAGTAATCTGATCCATCTCTTGACAGATTATGTATTCTTCAGGGAAGTAGAAACTCTCCATAAAAGCTTTCACTGGTCTTTCTTGTGACCTTTTTTAAAGTTCCATCTTAATTTTCCGAAGGAATAAAAGTGAGAAATCTTCATACGTTTCTATACTTTACAAGGCTCTAGACATACTTTTCAAAAGGTGGAAACTTTTCATATCTGGGCACGAGTTGCCTTACTGCATTCAGTAAACATACTTGAAGGGTGGTTCCGTTTACTGGAAACAAGGCAATTTTCTATGAGCTTTTGAGATCTCTTCTATTAGAACGTGTTTAAGAGTCAGATGGGCTTTCTTGTGTGAAAAGCATTTTCTTAATGGGTACTTGCTCACAATGCTGTGCTAAAGCTCTTGTTGCCTTAGAGACAGTCGGTCAATGGATAAGTAAATGGGTAGTCTTGAATATCAAGCCAATGAATAATCCATTTTAGTAATCTTTGCCTCTGCCAGAGGCAGTGCCTTAATAAGTCAACACATTTTTATATACTTTATTTAAAAAAGAACTTTATGTTTACTAAGTGCTTTGATATACATGGATAAAAGACAAATAATTCAATAGTAGTATAATTCTCTCTCTTGGTAATAGTTCAGAGCTATATACAATAAATTTGGTAAACTTCAGGGAAAATAAACTGATTTCAGAAGTTTTTTAGGCTTACTTTTAAAAATCACAAGTAAATGTCATTGCCTTTACCATGCAGAACACAAATTCCCTTCAAACTGACGTTTGGTTGAAAAATGTCAGTTGATTTCCGTGTTGTTACAATTTAAATAATAATTTATAAACTAAGTTAGATAGAATACCCAAAACAACTCATGAACCCCATATCCACTTATCCATGTATATATATTTCATGCCATCATATAATGGAATACCCTTGTGTAGATATATAACACTTGCTAATGTTTATGAAGGATAAGATATCATAGAATATACCCTATAAAATATAAATTTAAAGACAGTATTACAATAAAAATCACTGGAAATCACTTCAAATATGCTTACAGATGCTCCTCAACTTATAACGAAGTTTTAATAACCCATCATAAAATATAATTAAGTGCATTTAATACACCTAACTTACCAAATATCATAGCTTAGCCTAGCCTACCTTAAATGTGATTCATAACATTTTCATTAGCCTACAATTGGGAAAAAAATCATCTAATACAAAGCTGATTTTGTAATAAAGTATTGAATATCTCATATAACTTATTAAATGCTGAGCTGAAGGTGAAAAACAGAATGGTTGTATGAGTACTCAAAGTACAGTTTCTATCGAATGTATACCACCTTCACACACCATCATAAAGCTGAAAATTCTTAGGTCAAACTATCTTAAATTGGGGGCCACCTGCAGTCAATTTGCCTGACATTATAAGTTCTATATTTTTCATAACCAGAAAATAATGACAAAACTGTTTTATTCTTAATTCATTTTATTTGATTAGGTATTTTTGAATTAAATGTAAACTTTGGGTTCTTGTTAGAAATTCAGATTGTAATCAATAATGTGTCGCTCCTTTTTGGTTCATCTAGCACTTACTAAAGACAGAAAAGTATACCATTATCTTTCTGGAAGAAACATTGTTAAAGAATAAAATGTAGGAAATTGGAATGAGTTTGGGCTGAAGGATATTTTTGGATAACATCTGAATTCTTCAGTTTCAGCTCTTAACTCTTGGGTGTTCAAACTCAGCTTCACCTACTAATAAACACAGAAGGACCATCTGTCAAAGTCATCTTTCTTATTGTGTGAAGAGAGTACTATACATTCTCCCCATGATTCTTTTTGAAATCAATTTAAGAAAAATAATTTTTGATGGAAATATAATCTGGAATTAATCAGTAAAAATCGAAAAAGATTAAAAAAAGGAGATGTTTTGGAAGTATATATTTTTAGAGGTAAGAGAAAATTGATTGTAAGTTAAATAAAATAGATAATTTATTTGATGACGTTCCTGGCTCAGAGATTCTATAATTCTGATTTAAGAATAACAAGAAATAAATTCTAAATAACTAATAGCATCATTTACCAAGTTTCTTGATATATGTGTGCGTGAGTATATGTGTGAATTCTAATTTGATAGCTAGGATTTTGTCCTGAACATTTGCTGATGTGAAAACCTTCATTATTTTCTAGCATTACTAGATACTCAAATAACTCTAAAAAGAAAACCTAGAACCAATATTTACTTTGTTCACAAGTGTTTGTGGGTGTGCATCCTGCCAGAGTGGCCTCCACTCCCTCCTTGACTGCACATTCAACTTTGGTCTCTTTCATGTTTCTTGGACTAAAAAGTCAAATCTCTTATAGGATAGTTTCACATTTCTCAAGGGTCCTGCAAATTAAAGGTGAGGTTTGACAGAGATTTAGGCCAATACTCTTTCATTCCTTCATGATTTTTTTCTAGTGAGTAGAGAATGAGGATTTATTAAGTCTAATTTGCCAAGATCCAATGTTTCTGATTATAGATGCCTAAGTAGGCTCCTAGACTTCTTGGAAGAATATAAAATGGATAAAATAGCTTTCCAAGTAGAGCTCATAACACTACATAAATCGTTTGATAGAAGAAAAATTAGGACTGATTATTATAGAGTAAGAATGCCGTTAAATAAGAAATACTTAGTTTGCTATATTTTATTTACTGTTATATGTTCCTTGTCATCCTTACCTTATTTAAGTGAAATACTTTTCCCTGAGAAAGAAAAAGTTTATTATATAACTGAAAATCTCCTTACTTGCTACATTTGGGATTTTAGAAACACTTAGAATTGTTAAAGATTTGAAATAACAGAGATGAAAATATCCTACACAGAATGAGAAAAACTCTGCATCATTTTCTGTATACTTTTTTAGTATAAGCTTATCTAAAACAGGATTCCTCACTAACTGCCTGTTACATTTTAAGTTTGTCTCTATTTTATTCTGCATTATAAAGCCTCTCTGCTTTCACTCTTCTAAACAAAATAGCACCAACTCTCATCTAAACAAGTATTTATTCTTGCGCTTTAGAAGATGCAATACAGGTAATTGAAGCCAATAAAAGAAGAAATATAGTTTAATGATGTAGACCAAGGAACAGGGTATACCTAGGATCATCGTACTTACTTTCTTACCAGATGGTAGTCCATTTATTTGCAATTTTATATTTTTAGCTATTAATCTAGAAAACGGAAATGACATATGCATCTCTTACTTTCACGTGTGAGTGTATACATGCCCATGTTAGAAGAGTTCGAGAGTGTGTGTGCGTGCATATGTGGAGGCTGTTGCTGGATAATCTGTGTGAAGTGTTCTGTTTATTTTTCTGCTTGCAGGTAATTTCTCAATTCTGCACATAATTATTAAGTAAGTTACTCCTATTTGGAGGGATTCGTTCAATTTATATAATATTCTGCTGAACCTATATTATTGTATTATAAAAAGAGCTTCACATATTAAAATGAAACTATGATTTTCAATACACACGAACAAAATCTGACAAGAACATTGGTATGTATAGTGATTCCTCTTTTAGATTTAATAATTTCCAGTCAATTTCTGATTCCTCTCTAGAAAGAACACAACTTACATTGAATTATCCCAGATGTCCCTCTACTTTCCAACCCTATTCCATTCCAACTAGCTGCATTCTACCCTCTAAACAGATTTGCAGTCATCAGTGTGTTTTCAGTGTGTTTTTGGTCTGCAGAAATAAATTTCACATTTTCTAGCCATCAACTGGGAGCTATAAACCAAATTGTGTGATCTAGAATAGACATTAATTATTGTCTTAAATCTCCCTCTTTGGGAGGAATATATGGAGAATATTTAGCATTTAGCTAAAGAGTAGAAACATATCTTGGGAAATGCTCTCTTCTAGAGTCAAAGCATGTGTGTTTTGTTTGGCAATCTTTATATAATTTTCCGTAGCAGATCAGTTTTTATCCTTTAAAGCTCTTTAGAATAACATATGGATGCACATTATAATAGTGTAAAGTATTAGAGGGTTCTATTGTCTGTAGTTAAAAGAAATCTAACTCTGTATCCAGTGACTTATTATTACAGATCATTTTAACTTCTCATTAGAATTGGCCAAAAAGTGACAGATGCTAGACCATTAACAGGCTAAAACAAAGACAAACAGAATGGATTTTGGATATCTTGCCTTTTTTTCTGACAGTTTCTTATGTATGAAGACACTGTACTTTTAGCTATGTAATTATAATTTCCTTTCCCCCCTCATAATATAGCTCAGCCATTTACATTATATTTTTGGGAAGTGGTTAAAAATCAGGTTCTTGGATCATTCTGAGTTCAAGTCAATTTTTTAGATTTACAATTTATTCTTCATAGGCCTCAATTTCTTCCATTTTAAAATGGAGAAAGCAATGGTAAATTATGAATTAAGCCAGATATTACATTTTAATTATTTAGCATAGTTTGGCAAATAGTAAGTATTCAATAAATACTGTATTGTGAATTGGTGCTGATAATGATAATTTTGATGATGATGAGAATTACCTTAAAATACAGAAGCAAAGCCAGTGAAAGTAAAGAATTATAGCATTAAGAATCACAGGCTTGTTTTTGATACAGGTAGTGGACTTAAATAATGATTAGTCATTATCTATGCAAAGAAGGGAAAAAAAAACTGTTCTATTCTCCTCTTCCCATTTACCCAGATTGATTGCATTTAAAAGGAGGAAATGTGAGCAGTATTCCATTATTTCTCACCTCACTGGTCAAAATTGGATTTTAAAGTGGGATATCGTATTTATGTCTATACACCCTCTCCCATTGGTCCCAGGTTCACCTTGTAGGCCTAAACAAATGATTGTCATTTTTACTTCAAGGGAAAAAATACCCATAGTAATGAGTTTTGAGATCTTTTAAGGAATTTTCTCTGATCCTTCCATCAGGTCAATGATGTTTACAATTAAATCATGAAGCATTATTCTTGCTGAAAAAGAGGTGAGTAAATGTGGTAGAAGCAGTTTTCTTGTTGATCATCCAAAGGTAATTTAATTAGCTGATCATTACCTCTTGGAATCCAAAGCTAGTTAATTGGGCTGTGGGCAGAGTAAAGTGACTTCCTTGACATGCAGGCTTAGTTAGAGAATTACTTTACTCTCTCTGATCATCATAGGGACCTTGTAAGGCCTGGCAATCCTGAGATTCCATGGAGATGGGAACAATTGCTCTGATTTATTTTTACACTTCTGTTTTCAGTTTTATGCCTCATGTTTAGTCTTTTGTGTGCTAAGTTTTTAGATGTTTATTTGACTAAAATATTACAATAAATCTAAGAGATTTGTTGCCATTTGTGAAATAGAATGGATTCATTCTGACTTGTTTTAAGGCAAAGTGAGAATCCCATTATGATAGTTGGCTTTATGGTCTTTAGAGAAAAATATTTCCAATCTCCTAACCAATATTGCATTAAATTAACCTTTGTTCTCTTTCCAATGTCTCTAATCAATAAAGACAAAACTGTATTGTTGTTCTTATCCTGATTAGTTACAGCGATGTCAATATGTATGTATTTCTGTGTTTCCATGTTATTACGTGGCTCTTTAAGCCAAATAAAAAAGAAAAGGAAAAAGAAAAAAAAAGAACAAGAAAAATATTAACAACAAAATCTTAGTAAGACAACTTAATCTCTCAGTGGGAGGAAATATATAGGACTGGATGAGTATCCAGTTACGGATTAATGATCAAATAGTTATCTTCTAGGGGCAGCAATAGACAACTTTATCATAACTGACACAATGATTAAATAAGATATCTATTTCTGAATACGTTAAAATAAAAAATAAAAAAGCAACATATTGGAGGCACCTCTAAAAATAATTATCAGTTTCTAAATCAGACCAGATTGATATAACTGAAACCTCCACCATAAATATTTTCTTAATATGTGAATATATGTTTTTGTTACAGTCTTTGTAAGTATAAGGTCTATTATAATGTCTTATGATTATTGATGATGATAATAGAAAGACAGAATGAAATACTAATCCACTGCCTTATAAAATTAGCATTAACTGAAAATATACTATAGGCAGAAACATTGGAAAATGACAGAAATTTCAAGAAGACAAAGATATGGTACAGCTATTTAGAGACTCATCCCTTCATGGCATAAAATGTAAGCAACAAATTAGAGTACAACATGGACATTTACTAGTATATATGAGAACAAAGTAATATGGAAACCTAAAAGGGAAGCAACTCATTATTGATAGTGCTTGATACCATTTCTTATTCTGGTGCTTTGGCTTGACAGTATCTCCAACTCTGACCATCATGTGTATCAGTCAACATAAATAATTTACTAGAAATCTGGTGTTCATTTTTGTATAATAGAGATTACATTTTGTCTAAACAAAGAACATAGATTATTGTGTTTCAAATCTCAGCAATTTTATTTGCATTGGCATTTAATTTGGTAGAAAGTTAAAGGGATATTTTTACAGTATCTTCTTATCAACTTTGAAAATATGAATAGATTCATATATTTTTGAAAATGCAAATTGCTTCATAGGAGAATCTGTTTAGAACACATTATGTTAGGCACTCTGTCTTTATATATGTGCATATTTATCAATATCTCTGTGGCCAGTTAATGGAGTGGTTCAGAACACCATGCTAATAAGGTCAAAGTCATGGATGTGGCCTTCCCTCACTTTGTTACTTGGCTACAAATAGATTTTTCATTGCAGCTAGCCTTCTTGCAAATATCTGCATTTGATCACAAAAAGTACTTTAAATAAATCAATGCAAATTTAGCAGCCTATCCACACCTGGCATTGGATAAGTCACGCAGATAAACTTGTTTGCAAACAAAATGGGATGAAAAGAATGTCCTACAAATGCTGAGTATATATATATTTTTAAATCAGTTTGCAAGCTGTTTGAAGAGATGGTGGTACATCTTACTCTCCACGTCCCCTGCACCCACTAATGTAAGGTGATACATACATTTTTATACACATCTACTGTATAGAAGAGCAGCTATAATATAATGGCCATTGTATGTTTTATATTTATTTTTTGCTGTTGAAAGAATGGCTATAATAGATTACAAATATTTGCATAGCAAATAAACTGAAATATATAGTGATCATTTTAAGACCAACATTATTTGAGTACACATATATAAGCTTATTTAAGTAATTTCAAATATCAAAGTAGTCAATTTGAAGAAATATAGTTGATTGAAAATTTAAATCATATAGGGGCTCAAAAAGAGAAAGTGACAATTGATTTCTCTTGAAGTGTGGTTTGAACTAAATACTTTTTAGTTAAGTGAACGTGTATGTTGTTTTATACTGTCAGCGTGATGTGTGTGTGTGTACATATGGCAGTATACAAATCTTGACTCACATATATATATTTTATATATAAAATATATAAGGATATATATGTAAATTTTATATATAAATGTTTTGTGTATATATATATATATATATATATATATATATTTGAGACAGGGTCTCACTCTGTTGCCCAGGCTGGAGTGCAGTGGCATCATCACAGCTCACTTCAGCATCAGTCTCCTGGGCTAAGTGATTCTCCTACCTCAGCCTCCCAGGTAGCTGTGACTATAGGTATGTACCACCATACACCCAGGTAATTTTGTGTGTATGTATATATATTTTTATATATGTGTGTTTTTTTTTCTTTGTAGAGATGAGGTTTTGCCATGTTGCCCAGGCTACAATCCTATATTCTTATTGTAGCACATTGTATAATAGAAAAGCAAACCTTAATGGTTTAATTCACATTTGGGTTTTCTCTTTCTCTCACACTTTTTTTGGTATGTTCCTTTGTTAGAGTCTTTTGCTTCATATCTCTGCCTTCTCATCTTTAAACTGGAGATAATAATGTAAACATATATGAAAAAAATGGAATATTAGTGTTCTAGCTCTATTCTAAGACATTTTATGCTTCATAAATTATCATGTTTCCTAATTTCAAACTGCCACTTTATACCGCTTCTTCACATCTCTAAAAATTTTTCAGATATTTTGTCTCTAAAACTAACAAAAATATTCTTTGACAATGTGTCCCCTAGTGATATAACTCTATTATTATTCTTCTACCTAATGCTTTTACTTCTTGAAAGAGTAATTTAATTCTTTCTTACGTTTTTAATTCATATTTACACAGATTGACTGTTGGTGGCTTTAGCAAGTGCCTTTTAAAGGACTAGTAGGAGCCACTCGCTAAGGTCACCAGCAATCTTATATTTGGCACAATTAGTAAAATAATTTTACTTCTTATCAGAGTCAAACCTGGTTGAAAGCATTTCGCTTTTAGAAACCTCTTTGGTGTCTATGAAACTATGCTATTTTCAATCTCTTCTCTATGAATATCCATTCCCATCTTCTTTTGATACCAGGACATTCCTCAGAGCTCCTCAGAATTATTTTGCTTCATTCTGCACCCTGTTTCTAGGTAATCTTCCCATTCCTATGGCTTCTAACACTCAAAATAGACTTGTGGCTACCCATTTGAGATCCATCCTAGATTTTACTCTTTCACCAAGAACATGTTCAAAAGCTACTCATTGGACACCTCTACTTGGATTACCAACAGGCAACAGAAATCCAGCAACAGAAATACCTGAAGCCTGCTCTTTCTTTTGAGGAAACTCTTCTACATTGAGAACATAGTTTTTCCAGTCATCACAGGACCTACTTACTCTTTTTATAAATTCATAATTTAATTAATTACTAAGTTTTCTGGTTTTATCGCCAAGATACCGATTGTAATTTGTGCCTTTCTATTTCTATCACTAACTTCTTTAAATACACATTGATTTTTCACTTTAGAGACTATCCAATCTCCTTGTGTATAACATTGCCCATCCCTACCAAACCTACTTCCACAGTGCAACTCAGAGATGTTCCCCAAACCAAACAGCTCTGTGTCACAACTCATCTTGGTAAGGAGTCTCTCTGTACAATTCCCAAGCAAAACCCACTTTCAAATAGAGAAGTCTTTTTTTCTTACACTCTGCCCTAGAGAAATTAAAGACTGTAGGCCTTAGAAATAAAGGGGCCGATCAACAAGCAACTTGTAAAGTGGCTGATAGCTTACATTATAGCTATCAACAGTGTTTGAAATTTCAATGTGATCATTGTCTTCTATTTAAGTACGTAACTGCTTTTAAGAATATGGCCTCTGGAGGCAGACTATCTTATTGTGAATCTTTGAATCTTGATTTAGTCCTTTTATGACTTTGAAGAAGATAATTTAACACCTGTGTCTCAGTTTCGTCATTTGTAAAAAAAAAAAAAGTGTAAAAAACTATACCTATTTTGTTTTGGCCATATCAATAATTACATTAAATATATATAAAACTCATCACTCTTTTAGTGTCTTGAACATTGCATGTGCTCAAAAATGACAACTAGTATTTTTCAAGGGTGCTCTTTAAAGGATAGGTGCAGTTTTTTGTTGTTGTTGTTTGTTCTGTTTCTCCTAAAAAAATATTTTTCCCTGAATGTCTGCATATACTTGATGCATTTGGGGAAAATAATCCCTAAACATCTGGTCACTTTTGATTTCATTGAGTTGCCTTTTCAATACCTTGCCTGACCACTCCAAAATAAACGTCAGAAATACACTCAACTAACCCTATATAGCGAAGGGCTCATTGACAGTAAACCTTGACTAGTCCGAGTCAACTAGAATAGGCTTTTTGGCCTACCACTCCTACTACCATTGCAAGCCAGTGCTACTGTGATTAAATTGTCAGAAACCTTAAGTATTTTACCTTTTCCAACCATGTGTGAATGAACCAGCTTATTGAATACTTAATTGCAAGCAAAATTCTCCACCTCCTTTTTTGCTATCAGAATGCACTATAATTTTTCTGAACTAGATTTCAAGAAGAATAAGAAATTATCTCTTGTAGTTTTTATTAACATCTGTGCATCAAGTAAAGGGCCATGCATATACAGAATAAGGAATCGCCATTACTCTCCCTGGGCTGGAAAGTGGTAGTGTCATATCAAATTGATATACTTACTTAAATTTTTATTGGTTTCTGCTATCTTAGATCGAAGTCCACATACCTTACAATGGAATGTCATTTGTGATGCAGCATGCCTATAATTTTCAGAATCATTTTCTATCCTGTCATACTTACCATATGTTCTAAATATAACAAGCCTTTACAAATCCTATAATGTATCGTGCTTTTTCTTAAAGCACGTCTTGTCTGTTTCTATTGCCTGCACCTTTTTTCCTATCCCATCCCTCTACCTTATTTACTAAAAACCTACTTATCCTTCAAAACACAGCTTGAAATTTACCTCCTCTGAAAAACAAAGAGTCTGCTTTTCTAGATAGAGAACCATGCAGAGAGGGGCCTCTTACGCAAAACCGAGTGCTTCCTTTCTACTGTTTTAACCTTGTATGCACTTCTTTTACAATACAATTCATGACTTACCTACATATCTAGCTCCTTTTCTTGACTACGAGCCACCTTAGGCCAAAGATTTGCTTAGTTTACTATTTAATCCTGTGAACTCCAAATATCTGAGACAGATCTCAGTTAATTTAGAAAGTTTATTTTGCCAAGGTTGAGGATGTGTGCCTGTGACACAGCCTCAGGGGGTCCTGATGACATGTGCCCAAGGTGGTCAGGGTACAGCTTGGTTTTATACATTTTAGGGAGACATGAGACACTAATCAATATACATAAGATGTACATTGGTCCTGTGAAGAAAGGATAGACAATTTGATGCAGGGAGGGGGCTTCCAGGTCACAGGTAGTTGGGAGATAAATGGTTGTATTCTTGTGAGTTTCTGATCAGCCTTTCCAAAAGAGGCAATCAGATATGCATCTATCTCAGTGAGCAGATGGATGACTTTGAATAGAATGGGAGGCAAGTTTGCCCTAAGCGGTTCCCAGCATGACTTTTTCCTTTAGCTTAGTGATTTTGAGGCCCCCAAATTTATTTTCCTTTCACAATCCTCAATGTTATACATGGAGTCAGAAAAGTAGGGACTAAAGATATGATGCTCCATGGTTATAAAACCTATTATTTTTATTTTCTATAGTGGAGAGAGAAAAATAATTATTGAGAAATTCAGAAGACTACCAATAATAAAAGTTGGGTACAGTTATATTGTGTGATAGAGTTATTAATGGGAGAATATTGGTAAATAATTCTCCAGTTTGTGTATGTCTTTTGTCAAATCTGTCATTTCTGCATGTCTATCGAAATACTGACTGCTTTTGTTTTGACCTATATTTTCAAGTATGTTTGTATAGTGAAGACACTTGGAAGATAGAGGTAGTATTTCCTTGTAGAAGAAAGGGCAGATTTGTTTACTGTCCAGTATAATAAAGATAACATATCCTTTTGGAGCAAACATCAGGCAGGTTTACTGTCTACTATAAAAGATTTGGGTTCTCTAATCATAGGCTTCCCAATTCTATAACAGAACTCATTGTGTGTTTAGGCGTTACCTGGCCCACTTTTCCCTTCATACATTATTAAATTATAGGACCCATATTTTTAAAATTCCTATAAATTAAAATGTGCTCTTTTTATATTAGTGAAAATGATACTGTAAGCAAGTTTCTGAAGTTTGCAAAATCTACAATCAGTTTTTGTATCTCTTGTGCTCCCTGCCAGTGCCCATATAGTGATGACCACTGTCCAGGTTTATCACTTGAATGCCTGTTTATTATTTCTTTATTTGAATGGCTATTCAGGAGAAAAAGTACAATGGTTAGTTATGAATATTAGCTTGCTATTTCTTAAACTCCTATTTATTTTGCATGCAACCTAAATCATTGATTTATATTTCCTGTTGCAAACCACTTTCCATAATTCCAGACATAAAGTAAATAAGAGCAAACAACAAAAGATAGAAAAAGATGGGTTAACAACCTTCAAGTCTATCTTCTGTAGCAGACATTCTTGTTGTTACTTTTGGGTATTAATAACATTTCTTTTTCATAATCTTATAAAGTTCCAGGAAGCTGAATTAATTATTCCCATTTTACAAATAAGAAAAGTCAGTTATGAAATTGAATTAATATGCCCAAAATAAAAGAGCTTATGTAAGTAAGTAAGTAGCAGAAGCCAGGATTACTGGACTCCAAAATCCAACAAAATATAATTTCAAGAAATCTACCTTTACCTGACACTTAGCTCTTTACCACAAATTCAATTCCTGCTTTTTCTCATCAGTTTCTCCCTGTTTTAATACAAATTTAGCCCTTGGGACCAACTTTCTCTACTGGAGCAAATTTTTTCCTGTCTCTTATTCCTAGATTTTCTCTTGCTTCAATCCTGTGGTCTCAATACATGTTTCAAATATTGAGTTATTTAAAATATAATATATCCATAGGTCATATAATTAGTATGAAACCTATGGAGGTGTTATATTTGTTCAACATAACATTTTCAAAATTGGACATTTTTTATAAAATTTCAGGTTAGCAACTTTTCTTAAAGACCATGTCTAACAATACTGGACCCATGTTTCTGCATGATAATAGTCAGCTTAAGCTGAATAATGGCAGTAGCCTTTAAACAGTGTACTTTGAAGTTTTTAATTGCCTCTTCTGTCTCATGTCTGTTTCTTCATTTGTATCATAGGACAGGACTCACCAGCATTTGAATTTGTGATGTCTGATTTATATAACATTGATTTACCGTGTAGATGACAAGGAACTATTGTCCTGTGCCAAGAAATTTTTAAGGCTCATAGAGTCATTTCATTTCAGAGCTCTCTGACGCTAATAAGACAAAACTCTCACTTTATAGTGTACTAACTGGTAGGAAGAGTTCATTATTGTTGTTAGAGGTACTATTATTTAGCATTCTGGTTTTAGTGACACTTTGGAGAAATTTTCTGGGATTTTTAAAGTATTTGTCAATCACTTATCTCAGTGAATGAATTTGATTCTCTGGGATTTACCAAATTTAAAATTGGTAAAAGTGTAATAGTGATCAGCTACTTGTCTTTTAAGTAGTTTTTTATATCTGACCATAGACTCCACCAAAAATGGAACTTTAGTGTTTAGATGACAAATCACTTTAGCTGAAACCAAGAACTTCCCCAGTGAAGTTTATGGCAGCATCATTGATTTGTTTATCCGTATCTAGCAGCACATTAAAAATATGCACAGGAACTTTAGTTGGGTTGCTACTAAACAAGAAATAAGGAATTTTAAATGTATTTAAACATAATCAATGTGATTAAAGTAAGTCTATACAGATTTTGTTTTGAATTTTTTCTTATATATGAATAATTAAAAATAATTTTTTTATTATTGCATTAAAATAATTTATTCCTACTTGAGTTTTCCCTTATTTTAAAAAAAGAAAGACCACAGAAGTCTTTAACTGTAATAAAGTATTTAGGTTCTAAATCCTTAATTCTAATTTTTAACAAAAAAATTCTATAAACAAATATCCTTCAATGTATATCACAAATTAGATGTCTACTTAGAAAATGTTCTATATGCATTACTAATTTTTTTTCCTGCAATGAAACAAGTGGAATGTTTTCATGATTACAGGTATATCTTACTTCGCAAATATTGAACAAGTTTAACATTGAATTTATAGAATTAAAGGACCTCCAAATTCATTTTAGTCAATATCACTGTACCACAGAACATTTAGGTATTATGTGGTATGATCTGGTTCCCATGTTGGTTATAGCATATGTTGAGAGCAACAATTTTGGAATCAAAGCGATCTGGATTTAGTATTCTGGCTATACCACAAACTGTGAGTTTGATCCTTTCCTAGTTACTTACCTTGATTCTGTTCTCTCCTCTCATTCCATTTAAAAAGTAAATAATTACTTTTGTTTTGGAGGATTTTAGCCAAAATAAATTGAGATCATGTATAGAAAATAATGAGTTTATTGTCTAAAACATGCTAAATGCTCAGTAACTGTTTATTAGTTTTTCACTTAAATCCATTAAAATACAGTAATTCCCCCTTATCCACAGTTTTAATTTCCAATGTTTTATTTACCCATGGTCAACCATGGTTCAAAAATATTAAATGGTAAATTCCAGAAATAAGCAATTCCTAAGTTTTAAATTGCGTGCTGTTCTAAGTAACATGATAAAATCTCACACTATCCTGCTTCATCCTACCTGGGGCATTAATTAAATTAAACCTTGGGAGAGACAGGGCAGTTGAATGCTGGTGAGAATAGTATTAGCCCAAGACACAGCCAAGACTGGTCCTGCAGTCCCACAATAGTATGTCCTTTTTGTTAATGTTGATACTATTCCTTTCTGTTTGTTAGTTTTCCTTGTGAGAGTCAGGTCCCTCAGCTGCGAGTCTGTTGGAGTTTTGCTGGAGGTCCACTCCAGCAAACGCTTTTTGCCTGAGTATCACATTTCCTTAGGAATGTCACTGCCTGCTTCTCCACCACTGCAGAGATTGGCCTGAGAACATGTTACTAAGGGCTGGTTAGGGACTGACAAGCAAATGACAATAAGATAGGTTGACCCACTTGTCCTTAAGCATTTTAGTTCCCTAACTAACACCTTTAGAACATTAAGTGCTCTGACTAGAGCAGTGTCTAGGTCTGACATACAGAGAGTCACAGGATGACAGGATTACCCAGTGACGGGAAAGTGAATGGAAGAGAAAGAATTAAGCCAGTCTCAGGGAGATGTGAGCTGTCTGCCTTGGGGCATGCACCTCACCCCTCTTAAAAATAAGACAAAAAGAGAGGTTCCATTCCAAGATGGCCTAATAGGAACAGCTCTTGTCTGCAACTCCCAGCATGATTAACGCAGAAGACTGGTGATTTCTGCATTTCCAACTGAGGTATCTGGTTCATCTCATTAGGACTGGTTGGAAAGTGGATGCAGTCCATGGAAAGGGGATGCTTTGCCAAAGCAAGGCAGGGCATCGCCTCACCTGGGAAGCGCCAGGGGTCAAGGGATTTCCTTTCCTAGCCAAAGGAAGTCGTGACAGACTGTACTGGGAAAATCAGGACACTGCCACCTAAACACTGCACTTTTCCAATGGTCTTAGCAAACGACACACCAGGAGATGATATCCCGCACCTGGCTCACTGGGTCCCATGCCCAAGGAAACTTGCTCACTGCTAGCCCGAGATCAAACTGCGAGGCGGCAAGCCTGGCTGGGGGAGGGGCATCCGCCATTGTTGAGGCTTGAGTAGGTAAACAAAGCGGTTGGGAAACCCGAACTGGGTGGAGCCCACCACAGCTCAACAAGGCTTGCCCACCTCTTTAGACCCCACCTCCAGGGGCAGGGCACAGCTGAACAAAAGGCAGCAGAAACTTCTGCAGACTTAAACTTCCCTGTCTAACAGCACTGAAGAGAGCAGTGGTTCTCCCAGCATGGTGTTTGAGCACTGAGAACGGACAGACTGCCTCCTCAAGTGGGTCCCTGAACCCTGTGTAGCCTAACTGGGAGACACCTCCTAGTAGAAGCCGACTGACACCTCATACAGCCAGATGCCCCTCTGAGACAAAGTTCCAGAGGAAGGATCAGGCAGCAATATTTGCTGTTCTGCAATATTTGCTGTTCTGCAGCCTCTGCTTGTGATACTCAGGCAAAAAGCGTTTGCTGGAGTGGACCTCCGGCAAAACTCCAACAGACTCGCAGCTGAGGGACCTGACTCTCACAAGGAAAACTAACAAACAGAAAGGAATAGTATCAACATTAACAAAAAGGACATCCACACCAAAACCCCATCTGTAGGTCAACATCACCGAAGACCAAAACAAAAATGGGAAGAAACCAGAGCAGAAAAGCTGAACATTCTAAAAAGCAGAGTGCTCTTTCTCCTCCAAAGCATCACAGCTTCTCACCAGCAATGAAACAAAGCAGGATGGAGAAGGACTTTGACAAGTTGACAGAAGTAGGCTTCAGAAAGTCAGTAATAACAAACTTCTCTGAGCTAAAGGAGGATATTCGAACCCATTGTAAGGAAGCTAAAAAAGGATTAGCTGAATGGCTACCTAGAATAAACAGTGTAGAGAAGACCTTAAATGACCTGATGGAGCTGAAAACCATGGCAGGAGAACTACGTGATGCATGCACAAGCTTCAGTAGCCTATTCGATCAAGTGGAAGAAAGGGTATCGATTGAAGATCAAATGAATGAAATGAAGTGAGAAGAGAAGTTTAGAGAAAAAAGAGTAAAAAGAAACAAACAAAGCCTCCAAGAAATATGGAACTATGTGAAAAGACCAAATCTAAATTTGATTGGTGTACTTGAAAGTGACAGGGAGACTGGAACCAAGCTGGTGAACACTCTTTAGGATATTATTCAGGAGAAATTCCCCAAGGCAGGCCAACACTGAAATTCAGGAAATACAGAGAAGACCACAAAGATACTCCTCGAGAAGAGCAACTCCAAGACACATAATTGTCAGATTCACCAAGGTTGAAATGAAGGAAAAAATGCTAAGGGCAGCCAGAGAGAAAGGTCAGGTTACCCAGAAAGGGAAGGCCATCAGAATAACAGCAAACCTCTCTGCAGAAACCCTACGAGCCAGAATAGAGTGGGGGCCAATATTCAGCATTCTTAAAGAAAAGAACTTTCAACCCAGAATTTCAAATCCAGCCAAACTAAGCTTCATGAGTGAAGGAGAAATAAAATCCTTTACAAACAAGCAAATGCTGAGAGATTTTGTCACCATCAGGCCTGCCTTACAAGAGCTCCTGAAGGAAACACTAAACATGGAAAGGAACACATAGTACCAGCCACTTCAAAAACTTGCCAAATTGTAAGGACCATCGATGCTAGGAAGAAACAACATCAACTAACGGGCAAAATAACCAGCTAACATCATAAGGACAGGATCAAATTCACTCATAACAATATTAACCTTAAAAGTAAATGGGCTAAATGCCCCAATTAAAAGACACAGACTGGCAAATTGGATAAAGAGTCAAGACCCGTCAACGTTTTGTATTCAGGAGACCCATCTCATGTGCAGAGACACACATAGGCTCAAAATAAAGGGATGGAAGATCTACCACGCAAATGGAAAGCAAAAAAAAAAAAAAAAAAAAAAAAGCAGAGGTTGCAATCCTAATCTCTGATAAAACAGACTTTAAACCAACGAAGATCAAAAGAGACAAAGAAGGACATTACATAATGGTAAAGGGATCAATTCAACAAGAAGAGTGAACTATCCTAAATATATATGCACCCAATACAGGAGCACCCAGATTCATAAAGCAAGTTCTTAGAGACCTACAAAGAGACTTAGACTCCCACACAATAATAATGGGAAACTTTAAAACCCCACTGTCAATATTAGACAGATCAACGAGACAGAAGGTTAACAAAGATATCCAGGACTTGAACTCAGCTCTGCACCAAGCAGACCTAGTAGACATCTATAGAACTGTCCACCTCAAATCAACAGAATATACATTCTTCTCAGCACCACATCACACTTATTCCAAAATTGACCACATAGTTGGAAGTAAAGCTCTCCTCAGCAAATGTAAAAGAACAGAAATCACAACAAACTGTCTCTCAGACCAAAGCGCAATCAAATAAGAGCTCAGGATTAAGAAACTCACTCAAAACCGCTCAACTACATGGAAACTGAACAACCTGCTCCTGAATGACTACTGGGTACATAACAAAATGAAGGCAGAAATAAATATGTTCTTTGAAACCAATGAGAATAAGGACACAACATACCAGAATCTCTGAGACACCTTCAAAGCAGTGGGTAGAGGGAAATTTATAGCACTAAATGACCACAAGAGAAAGCAAGAAAGATCTAAAATTGACACTCTAACATCACAATTAAAAGAACTAGAGAAGCAAGAGCAAACAAATTCAAAAGCTAGCAGAAGGCAAGAAATAACTAAGATCAGAGCAGAACTGAAGGAAATAGAGACACAAAAAACCCTTCAAAAAATCAATGAATCTAGGAGCTTGTTTTTTGAAAAGATCAACAAAATTGATAGACCACTAGCAAGACTGAAAAAGAAAAAAAGAGAGAAGACTCAAATAGACGCAATAAAAAACGATAAAGGGGATATCACCACCGATTCCACAGAAATACAAACTACCATCACAGAATACTATAAACACCTCTATGCAAATAAACTTGAAAATCTAGAAGAAATGGATAAATTCCTGGATACATACACCCTTCCAAGACTAAACCAGGGAGAAGTTGAATCTCTGAATAGACAACAGGCTCTGAAATTGAGGCAATAATTAATAGCCTACCAACCAAAAAAAGTCCAGGACCAGATGTATTCACAGCCAAATTCTACCAGAGGTACAAACAGGAGCTGGTACCATTCCTTCTGAAACTATTCCAATCAATAGAAAAAGAGGGAATCCTCCCTAACTCATTTTATGAGGCCAGCATCATCCTGATACCAAAGCCTGGCAGAGACACAACAACAACAACAACAACAAAAAAAAAAAAAAAAAAAAAGAGAATTTTAGACCAATATCCCTGATGAACATCAATGCAAAAATCCTCAATAAAATACTGGCAAACCGAATCCAGCAGCACATCAAAAAATTTATCTATCAAGATCGAGTTGGCTTCATCCCTGGGATGCAAGGCTGGTTCAACATAGGCAAATCAATAAACGTAATCCATCACATAAACAGAACCAAAGACTAAAACCACATGATTCTCTCAAAAGATGGAGAAAAGGCCTTAGATAAAATTCAACAGCCCTTCATGCTAAAAACTCTCAATAAACTAGGTATTGATGGAACATATCTCAAAATAATGAGAGCTATTTATGACAAACCCACAACCAGTATCATACTGAATGGGCAAGAACTGGAAGCATTCCCTTTGAAAGTTGGCAAAGACAGGGATGCCCTCTCTCACCACTCCTATTCAACATAGTGTTGGAAATTCTGGCCAAGGCAATCAGGCAAGAGAAAGAAATAAAGAGCATTCAATTAGGAAAAGAGAAAGTCAAATTGTCCCTGTTTGCAGATGACATGATTGTATATTTAGAAAACCCCATCGTCTCAGCCCAAAATCTCCTTAAGCTGACAGACAACTTTAGCAAAGTCTCAGGATACAAAATCAATGTGCAAAAATCACAAGCATTCTTATACACCAATAACAGACAAACAGAGAGCCAAGTCATGAGTGAACTCCCATTCACAATTGCTTCAAAGAGAATAAAATACCTGGGAATCCAGCTTACAAGGGATGTGAAGGACCTCTTCAAGGAGACCTACAAACCACTACTCAACAAGATAAAAGAGGACACAAACAAATGGAAGAACATTCCATGCTCATGGATAGCAAGAATGAATACCGTGAAAATGACCATACTGCCCAAGGTAATTTATACATTCAATGCCATCCCCATCAAGCTACCATTGGCTTTCTTCACGGAACTGGAAAAAACTACATTAAAGTTCATATGGAACCAAAAAAGAGCCCACATTGCCGAGACAATCCTAAGCCAAAAGAACAAAGCTGGAGGCATCATGCTACCTGACTTCAAACTACACTACAAGGCTACAGTAACCAAAACAGCATGATACTGGTACCAAAACAGAGATATAGATCAATGGAACAGAACAGAGGCCTCAGAAATAACACCACACATCTACAACCATCTGATCTTTGACAGACCTGACAAAAACAAGAAATGGGGAAAGGATTCCCTATTTAATAAATGGTGCTGGGAAAACTGGCTAGCTGTATGTAGAAAGTTGAAACTGGATCCGTTCCTTACACCTTATACAAAAAGTAATTCAAGGTGGATTAAAGACTTAAATGTTAGACCTAAAATTATAAAAACCCTAGAAGAAAATCTAGGCAATACCATTCAGGACATAGGCATGGGCAAAGACTTCCTGACTAAAACACCAAAACAATGGCAATAAAAGCCAAAATTGAAAAATGGGATCTAATTAAACTAAAGAGCTTCTGCACAGCAAAAGAGACTACCATCAGAGTGAACAGGCAACCTGCAGAATTGGAGAAAATTTTTGCGATGTACCCATCTGACAAAGGGCTAATATCTACAAATAACTTAAACAAATTTACAAGAAAAAATCAAACAACTCCATCAAAAAGTGGACAAAGGATGTTAACAGACACTTTTCAAAAGAAGACTGTGCTGCCAACAGACACAAGAGAAAATGCTCATCATCCCTGGTCATCAGAGAAATGCAAATCAAAACCGCAATGAGGTACCATCTCACACCAGTTAGAAAGGCAATCATTAAAAAGTCAGGAAACTACAAGTGCTGGAGAGGATGTGGAGAAATAGGAATGCTTTTACACTGTTGGTGGGAGTGTAAACTAGTTCAACCATTGTGGAAGACAGTGTGGCAATTCCTCAAGGATCTATAACTAGAAATACCATTTGATCCAGTGATCCCATTACTGGGTATATACCCAAAGGATTATAAGTCATGCTACTATAAAGACACATGCACACGTATGTTTACTGTGGCACTATTCACAATAGCAACAACTTGAAACCAACCCAAATGGCCATCAGTGATAGACTGGATTAAGAAAATGTGGCACATATACACTATGGAATACCATACAGGCATAAAAAAGGTTGAGTTATGTCCTTTGTAGTGACATGGATGAAGCTGGAAACCATCATTCTCAGCAAACTATCTCAAGGACAGAAAACCAAACACTGCATGTTCTTACTCATAGGTGGGAGTTGAACAATGAGAACACTTGGACACAGGGCCAGGGCGAGGAACATCACACACCAGGGCTTGTCATGTGGTGGGGGGATGGGAGAGGGATAGCATTAGGAGAAATACCTAATGTAAATGACAAGTTAGTGGGTGCAGCAAACCAACACAGCACATGTATACGTATGTAACAAACCTGCATGTTGTGCACATGTACACTAGAACTTAAAGTATAATAATAATAAAACAAAATGACAAAAAGAAAGTAAGCTGAGAGGCACAAACAACCAGATATCTAAGGAACTTAGAGAGAGAGAGTGAGAGAGAAAAATCCAAACAAACTGTAGTAGAAGATACTGATCAAGAATTTTAAAAATATGATAATTATCCTCAAAGAGATGAAAGTGCTTCAATTACCAGAAATATGACCAACAGGGTATACTGAAAATTAATTTAACCACAAAATACACCAAAAGGCTAAATAACATTTTAAAAAAACCTCTCTTCTTCCCTCCCAACCATGAATCAGTTTGCAACAAAATTAAAAACAATTCTAAGAGACCACATCAAAATATGTGCAGGAATTCAAAGACAAGCTAGTTTCAAGGTAGACAGCTATAATGAAGGGAACGTCTTATCTCTAGTACATTAGCCCTTCTGTTTAAAGGGACAGGAGGCAAAGTCTTGGGCCCAGGCAAGATGGGGAATCAGTTTTTCAAGCCCCATATAAGGCCAGAATTTCTTGTTACTAAACTTTAAAAGATGTCATTTTTTAAAAAGGGGGGAGCATAGAGACTCCTATCTTGGCTCTAGGCAGGAGAAAACAAAAAGACTTTCCCCAGGAATCATAAATATATATCAATCCTTATAAGTAAATGAAACAATAAAGCCCAACAGTTTAATTTAAAACAGTCCTAGGCTGTTATCACTACCTGGCAAAGCAAATTTTATTTTGAGCAAAACACACCAATGAAGTTCAACAATATGTACTTGTAAGGGACAATTGGAAAACAACTTTATTCACATATAATCCCATCCTATTCATACTCACTTTATGTGGTTAGTTCCTGTCTTGCTCCTGACTGATCTCTACAAGACCTCATAAATTGTTTTTATTTGAAAGTAATAATTTAAAATATTCTATTATTTTAGACACAGAACAGTCTTAACTAAGAAAATAACTGTCTCATTTAAGATTTTAAAAAAGCAAAAGAAAACAAAACAAAATACAAAAACTTAGAAATTGGAGATCTGTGAAGAAACGTATGAATTATTAATTTCTTTACAAATGTATAGATTTGCAAAGAAATAATCATGTCTTTTTCTCTCACTGCCCTATCTCTACCACTGCACCTTGCCCAGCCCAAATCTCCTAAAATGAAGAGAATTTGGTGAAAAAGGTAGGCCTCGATTGAGGTATTCTCTGCATCATTGTCTAACATTTTTATGCTTCTCAATTATTACATTACTTTGAACTCCTCCAGGGTTAAATTGGAAGAAAAGAAAAGAAGGCATGCAGAAAAGCTTTTACTTGACTTTCACTAATCTGGCATTGATTTCTTCTAGGAATCAGCAATGTTAATTTTTTTTTTTCTTATGGGCACACTCTCAGATAGCTGAAACATTATCCTTTCACTTTAGAATCCCTCACCATCAGCTTTCTTGACATGGACAAATTTATCACCCTGGAGAGTCGTTCAAAATTCTTTCCTCTGCTGAACTTCAAAAAGTACTTTCCCAACCCCTTACTTCTGAAATTATCTTCCGTCTCCTACTGGCCTCCTTAGGCATGATTTAATATATCTCAAGACTGGCTCCCAAGTGACCTATATCTTCTCCACAGGAATCATGAGTTTCAGACCATATACTGGTGAAGAGTAAAAGTAGTTCTTAAATTCAGGCCTATTTTAATACATTCATCTAGCAAAAAGTTCCACCCATATAATTCCATCCTGTATATATTTCAGGCATGAATTGAAGAAGTATATGTATGTAGAACTAGCAAAAAGGAACTTTAAAACCCTTATTATAAATATATTTAATGAAATGTATAGTCTTAATGAGATAAAGAATCAGAGAAATAAAAACTTATAAAACCAAATGAAAATTCTAGAATTGAAGAGAACAATAATTGACATAAAAACTTCCCTGAAAGGACATAATCGCAGAGTAGAGACAGCAGAAGAAAGGATTTGTGAATTTAAAATAAAGTCATAGAAACCATACAATTTAACATTAGAGAGAAAAATTTATCAAGAAAAATATGTGACCTGCTGAATCATACTAAACAAACCATGTAGATAAAAAATGGAAATAAAACCACACATTGTAAGCACATTATGGTCAAACTGTTAAAAACTAAAGCCAATGAAAAAAGTCATAAAAGCAGTCAGAGAAAAATGACACATACAGGGAAATAATGGTGCTCTCTATTATTTCCATAGATCCAAGTTTCCTTCTGGAATAATTTATGTTCACACTCACATATTCCCTTTCACTTTGCTGGTAATTTAGGTGTGTTATTAACAAATTAGTTCAGCTTTCAATTATGTGAAATCGTATTTTTACGCCATTGTTTTTGAAGATATTTTCACCAGATACTGAATTCTGAGTCAACATTTTCCTTCCTCTTCCTTTCATTGTTTAGACAATATCAATATATTGTCTTCTAGTGTATACTATTTCTGATTATAAAATTTATCTAAAATTATATTAAAAGTGCAAAGCCCATGAATAGCCTTTATAAAAATACTTAGAGGACTCATAGTACCTGATTTCAAGACTTATCATAAAGTTGCATTCATTAAGACAGTACATAAATGGCAAAAAGATAGACATATACGGCCAGGCGCAGTGGCTCACGCCTGTAATCCCAGCACTTTGGGAGGCTGAGGTGGGCGGATCACGAGGTCAGGAGATTGAGACCATCCTGGCTAACACGGTGAGACCCCGTCTCTACTAAAAATACAAAAAAAATTAGCCAGGCATGGTGATGGGCTCCTGTAGTCCCAGCTATTCCGGAGGCTCAGGCAGGAGAATGGCGTGAACCCGGGAGGCAGAGCTTGCAGTGAGCCAAGATCGCGCCACTGCACTCCAGCCTGGGCGACAGAGCCAGACTCCATCTCAAAAACAAACAAACAAACAAAAAAGATAGACATATAGATCTATAGGATAGAAATAGAATCTCATATATAGTGTCATTTTAACAAATTATTTTGAAACTATAACTGCGCCGGATGAATCTGGTTCAACTTTCAGGTAAGAAAGTTGCGAGGTTTTTTTGTTTTGTTTTGATTTTTGGAAACGGAGTCTCGCTCTGTCGCCCAGGCTGGAATGCAGTGGCAGGATCTCGGCTCACTGCAAGCTCCGCCTCCCGGGTTCAAGTGATTCTCCTGCTTCAGCCTCGCGAGTAGATGGGACTACAGGCACCCGCCACCTCGCCCAGCTAATTTTTTGTATTTTAGTAGAGACGGGGTTTCACAGCGTTGCCCAGGCTGTTCTCAAACTCCTGAGCTCAGGCAATCCACCCGCCTCGGCCTCCCGAAGTGCTAGGATTACAGGCGTGAGCCACCGTGCCCGGCGCTTGTGAGTTGTTTTTCAGTTGCTGTGGACTGACAGGTTAAAGATCACTTAACCTGAGCATGTCCAGATGAACCAACTCTGCAACCACAGGTGGAACCTAAGTGTTTGGTCCCAGGAGCAGGGACTGAATTAAGAAGTGGACACGACAGGGCTGGATTCAGGATCCAGTCAGATCATGTCTCCTGGCCTCACCTCATTGTAAGATCCAATCAGATCACACCTCATTACCTTATGCTTATAAAACTCAGCCCAAACCCCAGTTCAGGGAAAAAGATTTGAGCTTTTCCTTTTGTCTCCTTGCCAGTTGACTCACAGTAAAGCTTTCTTTTTTTCAAAAGCTGGTGCTATGATATTGGCCTTCTCTATGCACGCCAGGCAGAAAGCCCACTGATTGCTCTGTAACAAAACAATTGCGTATCTATGGGAGAAAAAAATTATAATGTCCTTGGCAAAGGCAATTTTTTCTATAATATAGAAAGCATGAATCATAAAAGAAACAAATAATAAATTCAACTTTATCAAAACTAAAAACTGCTCTTTGAAAGATACCACTAAGAAAATAAAAAGACAAGTGATACACTGGGGAAAATATTTATAACAAATATATCAGGGAAAGGGTGTATATCTAAAATACATTTGTGACTTTTACAACTCAACCATCCAATATAAATAAAAAAATACTGTGAACAAACACTTCAAAAAAAAGACAAACAATCAATAAACTCAATACTATTATTAAAAAACACAAATTGAAGTCACGATAACATGTCATTTTACATCCACTAGCATAGTTCTAATTAAAGTAACTCTCAATTTCATTGTTATATTGAGTAAATTAGGTTAGATACACAATAATATAAACTATGTGATACCATTTATATGAAGATAGAACAGGAAAATGTAGCTTATGGTGATACATAATAACGTAATCCACAGATGTCAGAAAGTGAAAGCGTTGCAGGGATTAACAGCATTAAGCATGAGGGAATATGCTGAGGTAATTCTAATGTTTTCAAATATTTCAAAAAGAGTGGTAATAACACAGGTGCATACATCAAGATTAAACTACCCTATTAAAATTTAATGCATCTTATTGTATGTGTATCATACATAATGTACATTTTTGTGTATATGTAGATATTAATATAGATTATTCAATAAATACAAAATTGAGGAAGACGCAAAGAAATACAGAAAAAGTAAGATAAATAGAAAGAATAAAGTCATAGGCTAGAAATAATAAAAATATATCTGTCAAAATAATGAAAATTATGATTTCATTATTGATATGAAAAGAATCCCTGTAGTTATGAATAAATGTTATCTTACAGAAATTTTTTAAAGTATCACAGTGTGCATTTTATTCAAGATTCACCTAAAAAGTTGGAAAATTAAAAGATTAAAAATAAATGGTGTCAAAAAATATATATACAAGGCAAACAGTAACCTAATGCTAGGAAATCAGGGTAGTTGATAATGATGAATTTAAATACATCAAGAATATGTAACAATTCAGAACTTATATGTGTCTAATCATATAGTTTCAAAAACCAAGAAAATCAATAAATTTGATTAGAATTATAAGAAGAAATGGACAAAATTAACAATATATTTGGAGAATTTAACATTCTAGTGATGACATATTGAATAATTAACACCATTCATAAAGATAGAGAAGATTTAAACTACATACAATCACACTTAAAATAATGAACATCTGTAGATCCTTCCACCTAATAATTGAAGAATATTCATTCTCTTCAAGCTCAGAGGCAATATTAATGATAATTCATCATATTCTACATCATAAAAATCTCAACATATTGAAAAGATTGTTATTGTGCAGATAATATTCTGTCAGCACAAATTTAATTTAAATAAAATGAATTTAATTTTCTTAATATAATTTTAAAAATAATTAAATAATTTAAATTGATTTAAAATACATTAAATAATTTGAATTGATTTCTGATACATTAACTTAAACATGAAAATTAAAATAAGAGTAAATCCTTTGCTTTAGAAATTAAAAACAATATCTATATTATTTCTTAATTACAGAAAATATAAAAAAATTTTAAAAATGTGTGTAACAAACAGGATGTGATATGTTCATGAGTAAAACTGCAAAAGAACTAAAAGAAATGAAGGTTTATGTTCATGTTCATGTGAGACATTATTCATTAGTACAGATATTACTTTTTCTTAATTAACTTATAATTTAATGCCTTCAATGAAATTCTAAGGAAAAATCCAAAATAATTTTTATGGTCCTTGACACACTCATTTTAAAGTAATTGTAGAAGTATTAGAGTCCATGAAAGGGCCAAAACATTTTTGAAGCAAAATGTTAAGATTGGGTGGCCCTAACTGATATAAAAATTATAATGAAGCTAAATTAATAATGATAAAATGATAATGGCACAGTATTATCAGTAGCAAATGTTATACAATAGATATTCCAAGGTTGGTGTTGGGAAGGGATAGCAAATAGAAAAACCAAAAGAGGGAAATTGAATAAAAATGTATTGGCAAGGGCACACAAACATATGAAGATTCAATATATAACAGCGGTGAGATCAATGCGAAAAGATGATCTATTCAATAATGGTACTGGGGCAATTACTAAGTCATGTGGAACAATGACAAAGGATTTCTAGTACACACACACTCCATGAGAAAAGCACTTCTTTGTGATAATTAATGTTATAAAGCATTTAAAAGAAAAGACAGTTTTTATTTTGAGGTAGAAAATGATTCTAGAAGAAAATGTCAACAGAAACATCTACAAAAATAAAAACATTAATAAAATAGATCATACTAAAATGCGGTTTTTAAAATTATAAATTTTAAAAGTGAAAACATAATTTTCTAAATGGGAAATTAAAATTGTCACATATAACCAAAAATAGGCAAATATAAAACAGGTACCACTTTAAAAAATCAGTTAAAAAAAAAAACTAGTTGACCAAATATGAAAAAAAGGCATTGCCTAGAATCAATAATATGAGTGACCAATACAAATAAAGACAAATGGTCAACCTTATTAGAAATCATAGAAAAACAAATGAAACCGCAGTAAGAAACCACTTTAACAACTTAATTGATAAAAATTGGAAAGTCAGAAAATACCATGACACTTTCTTACAAGGATATTGATTTGGAGGCTGGATATGGTGGCTCACGCCTGTAATCCCAGCACTTTGGGAGGCCGAGGCGGGTTGATCACGAGGTCAGGAGACTGAGATCATCCTGGCTAACACCATGAAACCCTGTCTCTACTAAAAACACAAAAAATTAGCTGGGCATGGTGGCGGGTGCCTGTAGTCCCAGCTACTCAGGAGCCTGAGGCAGGAGAATCGCTTGAACCCAGGAGGCAGAGGTTGCAGTGAGCCGAGACTGCACCACTGCACTCCAGCCTGGGCAACAGAGTGAGACTCTGTCTCAAAATAATAATATAATAATAATAATAGTAATAATAATAAATTAGAATTACCTACACATATCAAAAATTATGTTCCTTTGATAAGATAATTATATACTTGCACTAGGAGATAGAAGAATGTTAATAGCAGCATTATTTCGAACAGCAGGAAAGTAAGAACTCAAATGTAAAACAGGGGGATGGATTAAAGGAAATGTAATATATTCAACACTGGGCCACAGTGGCACAGGGAAACTAATTAACTCCCATGATGTGTATCAACATGTTTGAATTATACAGAAAAAGAGCAAATAAATAATATAAATAAATTTGTAATGACTATTTGATTCAAGAACTTAAAAACTTGAACAATATAAATATTGGTATATGTAGCCCAGCACAGTGGCTCATGCCTGACCATTTAGATCGAGATGGAAGGATTGCTTGAGGCCAGGAATCCAGGACCAACCTGGGTAACAAAGTGAGAGTCTCTAAAAAATAAAAATAAAAATTAGCTGGATATGGTGGCACATGTCTGTAGTCGTAGCTACTTGGGAGGCTGAGGTGGGAGGATCGCTTGAGCCCAGGAGTTCAAGGCTGCAATGAGCCACAATCATGCCACTGCACTCTAGACTTGGTGATAGAGTGAGACTCTGTCTCATAAATAAATAAACAAATAAATAAATATTGGCACATATAATTTGTAGTAAAAATATTTTTAAAAAGCTAGGGAATGAGAAATATAAAATACAGTACAGTAGTCCTATATTCAGAAATGTTAAAGTCAGAAGGAGATATGATTTGCCACCTATTTGACAACTATAAAAAATTTTCATCATTTTTCAGTTTTCAGATACTGAGAAATAGACACTCTCATATGTTTTTGGCAAGTGTGAAATTTTTTAGACATTTTTGCAATAATATCAGAATTGAAAAAACATGATCTCATTGATATAACAATTGTATTGCTAAAACTGTATGATATAGTTACATTCACTCAAAAGAATAAAGACATATACATCAGGATATTTTATTATGGTATTTAATAGAGTATAAACTAAACATTTTCAAAGTCAATTATTAGAATATGAGTTATGGTAGATGTATGAAATGAAATACTATGAGGTCATTAAAAAGATTTTAATTAGTCATTAAAAAGAATATAAAACATTTTCATCATTTTCCAGTTTTCAGATATTAAGAAACAGACACTCTCATATGTTTTTGGCAACTGCATAAATTTTTTAGACATTTCTGCAATAGCCATCAGAATTGAAAAAACATGACCTCTTTGATATAGCAATTGTATTGCCAAACCTGTATGATATACTTACATTCACTCAAAAGAATAAAGATATATACATCAGGATATTTTATTATGGTATTTAATAGAATATAAACTAAGCATTTTCAAAGTCAATTATTAGAATATGAGTTATGGTAGATGTATGGAATGAAATACTATGAAGTCATTAAAAAGAATTAGGTAGACTTATATGCATCCGTGTCAAGAGATGATCAAGCTATAGTATTCTTTTTCTAATAATACTATCTATATATATGTGTATGTGTGTGTGTATATGGTATGTGTATGCATGTATATATATATACACACACATATATAATATTACTTCAATGATATTGACATTTTTATTTTCATTAAATTTTTAAATTTTGTGGGTACATAGTAGGTGTGTATATTTATGGGGTACATGATTTATTTTGATACAGGCATATAATGCATAATAATCACATTGGGGAAAATGGAGTATCCATCTCCTCAAACGTATATCATTTCTTTGTTTTATAAACCTTCCAGTTATACTATTTTAGTTATGTTGAAATGTACTATAAATTACTGTTGACTGTAGTAACCTTGTTGTGCTTTCAAATACTAGATCTTACTCATTCCATCAACCTATATTTTTGTACCCATTAGCCATCCCCACTTCCCCAATACACACTACACTTCCCAGTCTCTGATAACCATCCTTCTACTCTCTATCTCCATGAGTCCAGTTATTTTAAATTTTACCTCCCATAAAACATAAAGAACAAGTGAAATTTGTCTTTCTGTGCCTGGCTTATTTCACTTAACATAATGACCTCCAGTTCCATCCATGTTGTTGCAAACGGCAGAATCTAATACATTTTTATGGCTGAACAGTACTCTAATTTTCTGTATCTATTTGTCTGATAATGGACACTTACATTCCTATCAAATCTTGGCTATTATGAATAGTGCTGCAATACACAAGGAAATGCAGATATTTCTTTAATATACTAATTTCCTTTCTTTTTGGTGTAGAACTAGCAGTGGGATTGCTGTATCATATGGTAGTTCCATTTTTAGATTTCTGAGCAACCTCTATACTGTTCTTCATAATGACCATACTAATTTACATTCTCACCAACAGAGTACAAGAGTTCCCTTTTCTCCACATCCTCACCAATATTCATTATTGTCTATCTTTTGAATAAAAGCTATTTTAACTGGGGTGAGATGAAATCTCATTGTAGCTTTGATTTGCATTTCTCTGATGATCAATGATATTGAGCACTTTTCATATGCTTGTTTGCCATTTGTATGTTTTCTTTTGAGAAATGTCTACTCAAATCTTTTGTGTATTTTTAATCAGATTACTATTTTTTTTCCTATTGAGTTGTTTGAGCTCCTTATATATTATGGTTATTATTCCCTTGTCAGAGGCATAGTTTGCAAGTATTTCCTTGGATTCTGTGTGTGGTCTTTTCACTTTTTTGATGGTTTAGTCTGCTGTACAGAAATTTTTAACTTTATGTGAACCCATTTGTCCATGTTTGCTTTCTTTTCCTGTACTTTTGGATTATCATTCAAGAAATGCTTGCCTAGGCCAAAGTCCTGGAGAGTTTCCTCAAAGTTTTCTTTTAGTAGATTCATTGCTTCAGGACTCAGATTTAAGTTTTTAATTCATTTTGATTTCTGTATATGGTAAGAGATAGGGGTCTAGTTTCATTCTTCCGCATATGGATGTCAATTTTTTCCAGCACCATTTATTAAAGAGAATGTCCTCTCTCCAATTTATGTTCTTGGCCCTTTGTCAAATATGAGTTTATGGTTTATCGATGTAGGGATTAATTTTTTGTTTTTCTATTCTGTTTCATTGGTCTATGTTTCTGTGTTTATGTCAGTACCATGTTGATTTGGTTACTGTAGCTCTGTAGTATAATTTGAAATTAGGTAATGTGCTTCCTCCAGTTTTGTTCTTTTTTCTCAGATGGTTTTGTTTATTCTGATTGTTTGTGTTTCCATATACATTTTAGGACTATTTACTCTTTGAAGAATGTCATTCGTATTTTGATAGGGATTGCATTAAATCTATAGATTCCTTTGGGTAGTATGAGCATTTTAACAATATTGATTCAACCCCTGAACATGGAATATTTTTCCATTTTTTAGTGTCTCTTTCGATTTCTTTAATAGTGTTATACAGTTTCCATTGTAGAGATTTGATATGGTTTGGCTCTGTGTCCCCACTCAGATCTTATCTTGAATTGTACTCCCATAATTCCCATCTGTTGCGTGAGGGATCCGGTGGGAGATAATTGAATCATGGGGAGATAATTGAACAGTTTCCTCCACACTGTTCTCGTAGTAGTGTATAAGTCTCACTACCATGAGATAGTTTGATAAGGGGACACCCATTTTGCTTGGTTCTCATTCTCTCTCTTGCCACCACCATGTAAGAAGTGACTTTCACCTTCCAGCATGATTGTGAGGCCTCCCCAGCCACGTGGACCTGTAAGTCCAACAAACCTCTTTCTTTTGTGAATTGCCCAGGCTTGGGTATGTCTTTATCAGCAGTGTGAAAATGGACTAATACAAGGTCTTTTGCTTCTTTGGTTATTCCGAGTTATTTAATTTTATTTGTAGTTATTGTAAATAGGGTTGCATTCTTGATTTCTTTTTCAGGTTGTTCACTGTTGGCATATTAAAAGGCTACTGATTTTTTTATGTTGATTTTGTACCCGGCAACTTTACTAAATTTATTAGTTCTAACAGTTTTTTTGGAGAAATATATAGGTTTTCCACATTTAGATCATATCATCTGCAAATAGGGATAATTTGACTTCTTGCTTTCCAATTTGGATGGCCTTTATATCTTTATCTTGTCTGTTTGCACTAGCTATGACCTCCAGTACTATGTTGAATATCAGTGATGAAGGTGGGCATCCTTGTCTTGTTCCAGATCTTAGAGAAAAGGCTTTCAGTTTCCTGATTCCGTATAATATTAAATGTAGGTCTCTTACATATGGCTTTTCTTGTGTTGAGGTATGTTTTTTCTATACCTAGATTTTAAAGGGTTTTTATAATAAAGGAATATTAAATTTTGTCAAATGCCTTTTCAGCATTAATTGAAATGTCATATGGTTTTTGTCCTTCATTCTGTTGCGATGATGTGTCACATTGATTGATTTATGTTGAATCAACTTTGTATCCCTCAGATAAATCTCATTTGGTCATGATAAATGATATGTTTAATGTGTTGTTAAATTTGGTTTGGTAATATTTTGTTGAAAATTTTTGCATCAGTGTTCATCAGAGATATTGGCCTATAGTGTTCTTTTTTGATGTGTCTTTGTCTGGTTTTGGCCTCATAGAACAAGTCGGGAAATATTTCCTCCTCCTCTTTTTCAGAATAGTTTGAGTAGAATTGGTATTTGGTAAAATTCAGCACTGAAACCAAGATTCCAGGCTTTTCTCTAATAGGATAATTTGTACTATTGCTTTGACCTCATTACTTGTTATTGGTCTATTCAGATTTTGGATTTCTTCATAGTTTAATCTTAGCTAGTTGTACATGTGTAAGAATTTATTCATTTATTCTAGGTTTTTTAATTTACTGGCATATATTTACTTACAGTAGTCTGTAATAATCCTTTGAATTTCTGCAGTATCAGTTGTAATACCTTCTTTTTCATCTCTATCGTATTTTGTTGTTCTCTTGTTCTTAGCTACTCTTTCTAAAGATTTTCTCTATTTTGTCTTTTCTAAAAGCAACTTTCATTTTGTTGCTCTTTGTATTGTTTTCATTTCAAATGTATTTGTTTCTCTTCTGATCTTATTTCTTTTCTTCTACTAATTTTGGATTTTATGTGCTCTTGCTTTTCTAGTTCTTTAAGAGGTATCATTAGGTTGTTTATTTGAAGCTTTTCTACTTTTGCGATGTAGGCACTTTTTCCTGAAAACTTTTCTCTTAGTAGTCCTTTTGTATTTCATAGGTTTTGGTATGTTGTATTTCTAATTTTACTTTTCAATTTCTCTTGTTATTGATTTTCAGTTTTATTACATTATGGTCAGAGAAGATACTTGATGTGATTTCAAGTTTTTTGAATGTTTTAATACTTGTTTTTTGGCTCTATATGGTCTGTCCTTGCGATTGACCCGTGTGCTGAGAAGAGTGGGTATTCTACAGCCATTGGAAGACAAATTATGTAAATATCTTGAAAAACTGCCTTTGAAATTTATTTAGAACCCTAGAACACTTTATATTTTGGTGCTGGAGCTGGCTCGAACTCAGGTTCTAACTGTTGGGATGGATAGCTAATGTAAACGCTCCCTCTATGGGCTTTGGCTGGATTCTCCCTTGTCTGCTGTAGTGCCTGGAGTTCGTTCCTCCTGGTGGATTCATGGTCTCACTGACTTCAAAAATGAAGCCACAGATATTTGTGGTGAATGTTACAGCTCTTAAAGATGGCATGAACCCAAACAGTGATTGGTAGCAAGCGCTATTGTAAAGAGGGAAAGAACAAAGCCTCCACAGCGTAGTACGGAACCCGAGTGGGTTACTGCTACAGGCTGGGGTGGCCAGCTTTTATTCCCTTATTTTTCCCCTCCCATGTTCCATTTCTGTCCTATCAGAGTGCCCTTTTTTCAATCCTCCCCCCAACTGGCTACTTTTAGACTCCTGCTGGTTGGTGCGTTTTAGAGAGCGCTGATTGGTGCCTTTTACAGAGTGCTGATTGGTGCGTTTTTACAGAGCGCTGATTGGTACATTTTACAATCCTCTTGCTAGCTGCAGAGTGCTGACTGGTGCATTTTACAATCCTCTTGTAGGACAGAAAAGTTCTCCAAGTCCCCACTCCACCCAGTAAGTCCAGCTGGCTTCACCTCTCACTGTTACTGTGCAGCACTGAGTTCCAAAGTAAATCCCACTATCTCTTCACTCTCCCTCTCCCACACACAGGGAGTCTCTTTCTGTGCCACATGGCTGCTGCCAGGGGATAGAGGAAAGATGCCTCTTCAATGCCTCTGTCCTTGCTACGATGTTAAAACCAGGTACTGTGATTTCTCACTTAAATTTTGGTACATATGATGGTGATTTCTTGTGTGGATAATCCAATTTGGTGTTTGTGTAGCGTGGGTGGAGGATGATAACTAGAGGGTTCTGTACAGCCATCTTATTCTACCCTATTCCTGACATTTTTATTTTAATGAGGGTAACACTACTCTTCTTTTTATTATTTAAAAAATTTAAAAAATTCTTTAACATCTAAAAAAGGGTAAACATGTATGCTAAATTTGACATTTTATTCAGCTTTTATTTTAGGTATAGTAGTACATGTGCAAGTTTTATATGCAGGTAAATTGCATATCACAGGGGTTTGGTAAACAGATGATTTAATCACCTGGGTAATAAGCATAGTACTCAACAGGTAATTTTTTGATCCTTACTCTTCTCCCAACCTTCACTCTCAAGTAGTCCCTGGTGTCTGTTGTTGCCTTATTTGTGTCCATGTGTACTCAACATTTAGCTCTCACTTATAAGTGAGAACATGCAGTATTTGAATTTCTGTTCCTGTGTTTGTTTGCTTAGAATAATGGCCTCTAGCTCCATAATGTTGCCGCAAAGGACATGATTTTTTATGGCTACATAGTTACATAGTGTTCCACACTGTATATATATACCACACATTCTTTATCCAATTTACCATTGATGGACATTTGGGTTCATTGCATGTCTTTGCTATTGTGAATAGTTCTGCAATGGACATATGCTTGCATGTGTCTTTATGGTAGAACAATTTATATTCCTTTGGGTATGTTCCCAATAATGGGATTGCTGGGTCAAATGATAATACCATTTTAAGTTCTTTGAGAAATCATCAAACTACTTTCCATAATAGTTGAATTAATTTACATTCCCATCAACAGTGTGTAGGAGTTCCCTTTTCTCTACCACCTTGCTAGCATCTGTTATTTTTGACCTTTTAGTAATAGCAATTTTTACTGGTGTGAGATGGTATCTCATTGTGATTTTGAGCGGCATTTCTGTAGTTATCAGTGAAAGAGCATAATTCAAAATAAGAAGGAGCAGCTATGAAAAATACATGGCCAATATCATACTGAATGGACAAAAGCTGGATGTATTCCTCTTGAAAACCAGAACAAGACAAGGACGCCCTTTCTCACAACTTCCATTCAACATAGTACTAAAAGTCCCAGTCAGAGCAATCAGAAAGGAGAAAGAAGATAAAAACATCCAAATAGGAAGAGAAGAAGTCAAACTATCTCTCTTTGCAGATAGTATGATTCTATAACTATAAAATCCCGTGGTTTCTGCCTCAAATCTTCTTGATCTGATAAACAAATTCAGCAGTTTCAGCATGCAAAATTAATGCACAAAAATCAGTAGCATTTCTATACACCAACAACATCCTGGCTAAGAGCCAAGTCAAGAATGCAATGTCATTCACAATAGCCACCAAAAGAATGAAATAGCTAGGAATACAGCTGACCAGGGGGGTGAAATATCTCTACAATGAGAATTCCAAGCACCGCTCAAAGAAACTGGAGATGACACTAATGAATGGGAAAACATTCCATTCTCACGAATAGGAAGAATCATTATTGTGAAAATGGCTATACTACCCAAAGGAATTTACAGATTTAATGCTATTCCTAGCAAACTACCAATGACATTATTCAAAGGACTATAAAAACTATTCTAAAACGCATATGAAATCAAAGCAACCTATAGCCAAACAGCCAAAGCAACCCTAACCAAAAAGAAACTCGACTTCAAACTATTGTACAAGGCAACGGTAACCAAAACAGCATGGTATTGGTACAAAAATATACATAGACCAATAGAACAGAATAGAGGGCCCAGAAATAATGCCATACACGTGCAATCATCTGAGCTTAGACAAAGTTGACAAAAACAAGCAACGTGGAAAAGACTCTTTTTCAATAAATGGTGCTGAGATAACTGGCTAACCATATGTAGAAGATTAAAACTGGAACCCCTCCTTATACTATATACAAAATCAACCCAAGCTGGATTAAAGACTTAAATGTAAAACCCAAAACTTTAAAAACCCTGGAAGAAAATGGAGACAATACTATTCTGCACAGAGGAATGGGCAAAAATTTTATGACAAAGATACCAAAAGCAACTGCAACATAAGCAAAAATTGACAAATGGGATTTAATTAAACTAAAGAGCTACTGCACAGCAATAGAAACTATCAACAGAGTAAACAGAAAACCTACAGAATGTGAAAAAATATTTGCAAACTGTCCATTGGACAGAGGTCTAATATCCAGAATCTACAAGAAATTTAAACAAATTAGCAAGCAAAAAATAACTCCGTTAAAAAGCGGGCAAAAGATCATGAACAGACACTTTTCAAAACAAGACACACACGTGGTCAACAGGCATGTGAAAAAATGCTCAAATTTGACATTTTAATGATAAATTGTATGCATTATTTTAAAAATTTTAAACAACATACTTAAAAGGGAAGAGTAAATAGATACAATGTGATAACATTTTACACAAGGGTCTTACATTGATGAGATTCTTGAAAGGGTATAATAAGTAACAAACTCCAACTTCTATACAGTACGATATGTATCTTTCACAGTGAGACTTTAAGGAAAAATAAGTAAAGACAAATTATTCACCATAGGAAATGATTTATTATTCATAGTTCATATATATAATAAAATATTAGGCATTTTAAAAATCTTGAAGTATTTATTATATCTACTATATAAAAATGAATGAAAAGGCATATTATACAACATGTAATATATAATCTTCATGAGAAAGAGAATACACAAAGAACTCTGAAAGTATTTTAAGCAAGCCATTACAGAAATTTTCACTGTAAGGGATTGCAAGAAATTTTATAGAGATCTTTATAGTTTGATTTATTTTGTGCAATGAATTTCTCTTGCTTTCACCAATAAAATAATAAAGCCATTTTCATTTAAAAAATCATTCAGAATCTCCTATGAAAAATAAAATTAAAATATGTCAAAATAATTAAGACATTTCAAATAAATATTGTTTTATAGAGATAATATGAAAATGGAATTATAAAAAAAATTTTAATTATTTATTCAATTTATTTATTGCCTACTGTAAGTTTAGCCCCTTTGTTGGCACTGGGAATATAACAAGCAATGCATAGTAGGAGGAAAACCAGGTTTATGGTGAATTGGAAGACAAGATGGTGTGAAATTACCACTTGGCCTTGGGGACCTGATCTGACCCACTAAAGAGAAGCTTCCAATAGAAGGTTAAGTGGCCATTTTTGCTAAGAACCACATAAGACACAATACACATTCAGAATCACCTTAGGGCCCAGTTAAAACAGTAACTCACATAGCACCAGGGAGAGGACAATCTTCTCTGCATTGTACAAAAGCAGTTTTGGCAACATAAGTTGTTAGGACAGCCATATGCAGAAGCTTGCTTTGTCTTGTTGACAACAGGAGAAAACAGCAATTTTACTGCTATATACGCTTCAAAGGTGTTAAAAAAATACCCTATAGAAAGGCCCATCAAAAGGGCAAGTTACCTTCAAACATTAAATGGAGAAAAGCCAGACACCCAAGAGGAAAGCTGGGCTTGTGGAAGACCAGGACAGGGAATGCATGCTGGTGGTTTCTGAGCACCAATGAGACACACCTTGTGACACAAGAAAAAAATCTGAAAGGATAATTTACAGGAAACCAAAGCTATAGCATGAGCAAATGTGAGCCAAAGCCAGTAAATACATTTATGACTAATCATTTACAGCCACGAGATGATAAGGCTTAAGACATTTGGATCACATGAAAGAGAAGGCGAAAGGAATTATTCTAGAGGGAATACTCTGGGAAAGATAAACCCTGAATTTTGAAGGCAGCATCCCAAAACTTGACATTTCTGTTAAGCAATGATACTTCTGAATATGTTGACTAGTCCTTAATTATTTTACTTCATTTTTACTTCTTAGGGATTGGGGTTCTAAAACTCTGACATTTGTTGCTCAAGTTGTTTTAAAGTTACATAAAGGGAAAAGGAAATTTAAAAGATTGGTGTCTTAAAATGTCTTTTTTCTGAACAGCTCTTAGTATTGATGAATATTAGACTTCCTCAACCAGTAAGCAGTAGTCCATTGCTTACCATTGGAACATGAATCAACACTTTCACTGTGGGATATTGTGATAAATTATCACATGACATGCACCTCAATTGTACATTAGTTCACAAATGTCTTTCATTGTTATATTATTTTCAGGCCCTGATATGACATAAAAATTGTCCTGGCATTGTACCTATCAGTGATACAGGTATAGTTTCAATCTTGTAAAACTCTACTGTCCAATAGAGTAGCCACTAGTCATATGGGACTATTCAGCACTTAAAATGTAACTAGTCTGAATTTACAAGTACTGTTAATATAAAATTGACACCAGAACTTGAAAATATAGAATCAGAACAACAAAAGGAAAAGTTACGTCTTTTGATTTTTTATAATGAACACTTGTTGAAATGATAACATTTTGGATAAAGGGCGTTAAATAAAATTCATATTTAAATTAATTTTACTTTGTTTTTACTTTTTTAAAAGTATCGCTACTAAAATGTTTTAAAATACTTTTGCGGCTTGCATTATATTTCTAATAGATGGCATCACTCTAAGATACAAGAGAGAAAAGCGTCTATTTAGATCAGATAATTACATTTCTCATCCTTACTATGTTCTAAAGGTAGGTAGAAGGGATTCTGAGTTATAACAATTTAAGCAGTTATGCAAACTTCTTGAAGAGTATCAAGTTCTTTAACACTTTGTCATCTCTTGTGTTTGCTGTATCTTATTTTAATGAATCTTTCAATGCCCTCAGAAAAAGTTAAATCAATTTATTTTACATTATCTTGAAAAACAAATAATTTCATCACTTTGCTGTTGTATGTGCAGAATTAGACCCTGAAGGAATTTCACTATGATTGTTATGAAAGTTGTTTTAAAAAATGTTTTTTTAAAACTGAACTTATAACACAAGTGGTTTTTTTGCATTAATGATGGTGTCTTTAAATTCAAAGCCCAAGGTAACCTATTTCTTCCATCCTTGCTAGTGTTTACTTAGCATAAGAAAAAAATGAACAAATTCTAACAGGGTTAACATCCCTGTTTTCTTTGGAAATAGTGTGGCTGATAATCAGTGTTGAGAGACTCATTGGCAAGTTCTGCTATACGAGTAACTGTTGGCTGGGGAAGGATGATTATTTAACACCAGTGTTTGACAGAAAGCTTGTGTTTACAGTGTGAAAAGGTGCAAGCATCTAGAAAAATGCATGTTCAGATGTTAGAAAGAGTCATTAGGGAAGGATGTCTGCCAGATCAGCTTCTAACTGTTGGAATTGGCTTTCACGTGAACACAATCTATTGGGGTCTGTTGGCGTCTCCGTCTCCATCACATGCTGTCACATGGCAAGGCATAAACGAAGGCTGTAGTTTGAATTGCATAGGCTGATGTAACTCTGTTGTGCCAGGAAGTATGGGACAACTATTGCTGTTTGTTGTCACCTTAGAATAAAGTAAAGGCTGACTTCTGTTAAAAAAAAAAACAAAAGGACAGGGATTGGTTTAGGAAGAACAAAATTATCTGTAATGTTAATTCATTTTATAATCAAGCCCCAGCGTATTTATCCATGGTTAATTTATCTTTCCAGTAGATTATGAGCTTCATGAAGGAAGAGATTTTTGACTGTTTTCTTCAGTTTTAACTCCAGTTGTGTAATATGGCCTGGCATTATAATAGGTTCTCCATAAGTATCCATTAAATCCAAACTGTCTACCATTGTCTCAGAACTTGCTTTGCCTTCCTTTTATATATTTCTTCATGTATCAGCTTTTTGGAACTGGCTGCCCAAATGGTACCTATATGGCCTTCTACGATTTTTCTTGATGTCTAATAATTAAAGATCAATTAACTATTTGTATTGTCATAGTCTTTCTTAGAGCCACTCTAAGCCTTCTTTGGTGTATGATTTAATTAAAAAATGACCAGTTGTCTGATCCATCTGCTCACCATTACCATAGTGAAATTCTTGTGTACACTAGAAAACTGGGAGCTGTATGCCTTACCATATGTTGACCATAGAGGGTTATTTAAAACAAGGACCAATTCTGCATTTAATAGAGGATTACTTTCTATTTTTTGGTCTTTAAGATAATAATGCTCTGCATTTCTGATGTGCAAGTTTTAATTCGTATTATAAAGGGCAGGCCTAGTCTTTGCAAGGATTACTAAAAAAGAGAATTATGTAAGTTTTGTGGGTTTAGTTTTGCATTGCTGTGACCATTGAAGGAGTAATTAAGCAGGGAGATAGGGAAGCATTGCTCCAGGGAACCTGGTTATGAGTCTGGTAATTCTGTATTTGATATTGTGCAAGGAGTGACTTCAATAAAATAAATGAAACAGAATCGATGTTTTCTGAAGTCCGAAATGACTTTTTTATTATTTTTTTTAATTTTATTTATTTATTTTTTTTGAGACGGAGTCTTGCTCTGTCACCCAGGCTGGAGTGCAGTGGTGCGATCTCGGCTCACTGCAACCACCACCTCCTGGGTTCAATCAGTTCTCTGCCTCAGCCTCCCAAGTAACTGGGATTACAGGCGCCTGCCACCACGCCTGGCTAATTTTTGTATTTCTAGTAGAGACGGGGTCTCACCATGTTGGCCAGGCTGATCTTGAACTCCTGACCTCGTGATCCACCTGCCTTGGCCTCCCAAAATGCTGGGATTACAGGCATGAGCCACTGCACCTGAATGCCTTTTAAGAATGAAATTTTAAGTAGATGTTTTGAGATATTTCCTTTAAACCTTACAGGCTAATGGGTTTTTTGAAGTACTTTCACCTGTCTTGTAAGAACTCTCAGCTTATTGAAATTAATTCAGCAAACAATTTCTAGCCCAACCATGTAGCAGGAACCATGACATATTTGTTCAAAGAGTAACAAGTCATAAGATCCCTGTCCTGAAATATCTCATTCTGAAGTAGGAAAGGCTAAAGCACACATGCAACATACACCTACAGACAAAGCAGTACAGGAAATGCTGACCTCCTGATATGGTTTGGCTGTGTCCCCAACCAAAATCTCATATTGAATTGTACTCCCCATAAGCCCCATAATCATCATGTGTCAAGGGCAGGACCAGGTGGTGGTAATTGGATCATGTCGGCAGTTTTCCCCATGCTGTTCTCATGATAATGAGTGAATTCTCATGAATTCTGATGGTTTTATAAGTGTCTGGCATTTCCCCTGCTGGCAGTCTCTCTGTCCTGACACCCTGTGAAGAAGATGGCTGCTCCTCCTTTGCCTTCCACCAGGATTGTAAGTTTCCCAAGGCCTGCCCAGCAATGCGAAACAGTGAGTCAATTAAACCTTTTTTTACATAAATTACCCAGTCCCGGGCATTTCTTCATAGTTGTGTGAGAACGGACTAATATACCTCCTGTAGGAGCAAATGGCCATGGAAGCACAGAAGAGAACATAGCTTTATCAGGTGTGCTTAACAGACATGGCAATCTTTAACTTGAGCATTGAAATAAAGAGGGTTTTACTTCCTTAGGTAACCTGTAAGTTTAGGGGTAAGGTTACTGGCACAGGACATGTAACATAAGCAGAACTGATGAAAAAAAAAAGGTGTGATGAGTCTAGCCATACCCCTAGTCTAGCCATGACTAGTGTACAAATCCAGAAGGCATATTCCAATTGCAGTCTATATAAAGGACTGTGCCTTGCGTAGCTCCGAGGGACACCATTCACATAACCTGCCATATGAATATACATACTGGAGGTGGGAAACACAGTGGCATAGTGTTCAGTCAACTTTGGAATTACTTGAAGAGTTGTGGGAAGTGAGTCCATACAAACCTATAGTCAGAAATTTACAAGATTTAGAGCTAGGGATAAGTAAATTGCAAGAAAAGGAGGCTATTAGATCATTAAAATAAAATATGGATCACTATGTTTTCTTTTGAAACTTGTAATTCAAAAGCTAAAAATAAAATTTGAGAGTACTTTGTTCATGATTTACTCATCATTGAGCATTAATAAATATCTTAGCACTTAATACAAATACAACTGCAATTATCTGTAACTGTATTTGTAGGGCTACCTGATCATGTAGTATGATTATGGGCTATTATAAAAGTGAAAGTTTAAGATTCTGTGTAAACACCTGGAAAAATAGAGTACAGGCAAAAAGATATAGGGTTTTTTGAGTACTGTGAATTAAGATATATAACAATATCATCTAAGACATTGCAGGCATTTTTGATTCATTAGTTCAAATACTGCTGTTTGTATCCAAGCACTTCTTTTCCCCCTACCTCCATGCCTCTTTTCACTGAATTGGATAATCCTTAGCTTCCTTCTAATAACAGGATGAGTGACATTCATCTCTTCAAGGGGAAATAGCAATTTTTAAAGTAGCAAATACAATCTTGGTAGAAGTGGAAATCTGAAGCATTACTTATGTGGTCGCAGGCAGACTCTAAGTAGGAAACAGCTGTCTGGTTGCTTCTCAAATTGGTTGTGTGTTTGAAGCGCTGTGTGGATATTGGTCTGCCCTTGCTTTCAGATGAATCATTCTCCTAATGGACTATCAAGTACTTGGATAAATCCATCAGTAATGCAGACCATGGCTTCTGTACTTTTCTGAAATGCCTTCAAACCAATTTGGTAAATTACACCCGATGTGAGAGTTAGATGGTATGTCACGAAAGATCAAGCTTTTTGGTAAAATGTCATTTCTTTAAAAGATTTGTATTCCCCGTTTAGAGATAAAGTCTTTTGAGAGTGGAAGTATACCATTAATACATATTTTATCAGTTCAAAAAAATATATAGCATTCAAAAAGTTAAAGAACACATATAAAAATTGGATTAAAAATATTCTCGACCTGTAAATTTCTTAAACATTACATTTTTCTTGTATAATATTAATCTGCCATAAACAGGTGAGTTTATGCACAGCTATAGTAAAAGTAGAAAGAACAATAGTGTATCTTCTGGAGTATTAGTTTGTATTTTTAGAACATTATTAAAGTAAATGGTTATTTTTTCTGTAGCTTTGAACTATGCTATGGAGTAACTGTACTAAAGTTAATATCAAATGCAAAATATGTTTGTGCTTATTAGAGATTCCATAGCTGTTTATCTGTCAAAAGTACACTCTCTAAGGACTATTTATTAATCTTGAGATGCCACTTTCAAATACTTTGAAATATTTGCAAGGTGGTGCATGCTTCTTATTAGAAAAGCAATACATGTTTAGGGAAAGAAAAGTTGGAGAATGTGGAGAAAGGGTAATACATTTAATATTCAACTTATAAAGGATTTTAATATAAAGTATAATTACTATTCTAAAAAATCAGAATTTGAAGAATAATTTGAATTTATTAAATCTGGTAGTAAGAAATTAAATGAAACATGAAAAGCAATAATTGGCAAAATGCTGTGTCTCCTCAGCTCTTCTATTAGGAGCCTACCACCCTTCCCATGTGGGAGAGAACAAGCTAGGGAATACTTTGGCTTTCTGAGAACTGTGTCAGCCTTAGCAATTTACTTTACTATACCCATTATATTTTGCATAAAGTTTTATTTTATTCACCATAAGTAAATTTAAAGCAACTTTTGGGTTGTTCTCATTATTTTTGCCGAGGAAAAGAAAATTAAACTCCATTTTATCTTATCCGAACAAAGATAACCATTAAGATAGGTATTGTTGAAGATGAAAAGGTAACTTTGGGGCTCATTTTTGAAAGTTTTTGACAGAATATTTTAAACAAGCAGAGCATCGATTGTCTTCTTTAAGCCTTCAACTAGAGAAAAATCTTCATATGCAAGATAGCTTTATCTACAGTTTCTTACCATACACCTCAGATTTGGGTCTGAAGCCCTCATCTGAAGGAAGAGGACAGTTGGCCAGGAGGTTTAATTTGAAATAGCTTTTCATAGTTTGTAGAAAAGGTCACTGTGATAGTCACAATATAAACAACTAGAAGAAAACAGCAAGCAACTGTATGGGCACTCTCTGACCCACCATCCTAAGGGTACACCTTGAGACACTTAAGGAAGATTCTACTCCTATTTTACAAACTTTGTCCAACTTAGTCATTTAAAAACATGTTGAGACAGCTAACATCAACAATCAATTTAACTAAGTTAGATGCTAGATTTAACTAAGTTAGATTTAATTAAGTTAGAACAATTGTAACCAAGTTAGAAAGTCAACTTGATAAGTTTCTCAGGTGGTATCTCATTCCTATTGCTCCACCATAAGGATGCTGACAATGCTAAATACTTTTATTGAATAACTTGTGAAAATAATCAATTATTCAAAAATTATCTCTGAAACCATATGATCATTAAAAAATAATGTTTAAAGCTATATTTTTTTGATGGAGAATGATCACTAAGACATTATAATGAGTTAAGCACACAGACAGTGGAGTCAAGAATGTTAGTTCTTAAACTATAACTCTGCCTCATAAAAGCTTTGAGACCTTGAGCAAGTTACTGAACATCTCATTGCTAGGAATTTTATTTTCTTCATCTGTCTGGGGAGATAGATCATGGTAATTATCTCATAATGTTGTTGTGACAATTTCATGAGTAAACATATATTTTTTATTACATTAAAAATCAAGACATAAAGTAGTATGTGGAGTAGTATGCTTTCATTCGTCCAAATATGATGTATATGTATGCTGGTATATGTATATACATTTTTTTCTATAATGATATACTAAAATTTTTCTAACACCTACATGAAATGGTCCTGAAAAAATGGTTTGAATGGTGAGATGAAATTTATGTTTGTTTTTAGGCATTTATGTACAGATTTATTTTATTATATGCTGTATTCATTTTCATACTGCTATGAAGAAATACCCAAGATAGGGTAATTTATAAAGAAAAAGAGGTTTAACAGACTCACAGTTCCATGTAGCTGGGGAGGTCTCACAATCATGGTGGAAGGCAAAGGAGAAGCAAAGGCAAGAGTGTGTGTGCAGGGGAACTGCCCTTTATAAAACCATCAGATCCTGTAAGCCTTATTCACTATCACAAGAATAGCACAGGAAAAACCCACCCTCATGATTCAATTACCTCCCACTGGGTCCCTCCCATGACATGCAGAGATTATGTGAGCTACAATTCAAGATGAGATTTCAGTAGGGACAAAGCCAAACCATATCATTCTGCCCTTGGCCCCTCCCTAATCTCATGTTCTTACATTTCAAAACCAATCATGCCTTCCAAATAGTCCTCGAAAGTCTTAACTCATTTCAGCATTAACTCAAAATTCCATAGTCCTCATCTGAGACAAGGGAAGTCCCTTCTGCCTATGAACCTGTAAAGTCAAAAGCAGGTTAGTTAATTCCTAGATACAATGGGTTAGATACTTCCTAGATACAGGAGTTGGGTAAATATACCCTTTCCAAATGGGATAAATTGTCCAAAACAAAGGGGCTACAGGCCCCATGCAAGTCTGAAATCCAGCAAGGCAGTCAAATCTTCAAACTCCAAAATGATCTCCTTTGACTCCTTGTCTCATATTCAGGGCACATTGATGCAAGAGGTGGGTTCACATGGTCTGGGACAGCTCTGCCTCTGTGACTTTGTAGCGTACAGCCCCCCTACTGGCTGCTTTCACAGCTGGTGCTGAGTGTCTGTGGCTTTTCCAGGTGCATGGTTTTTTTCCAGGTGCCTATTTCCCATTTCCCCCTTGTCTTGGCAATTAACATTTGGCTCCTTGTTATCTATGCAAATTTCTGCAGTGGGCTTGAATTTCTCCTCAGAAAAATGGGTTTTTCTTTTCTATCACTTCATCAACCTGCAAATTTTCAAAACTTTTACCCTCTGCTTTCTTTTTGAACATAAGTTCTAATTCCAAACCATATCTTTGTGAATGAATAAAACTGAATGCTTTTAAGACCACCCAAGTCACTTCTCAAACGCTTTGCTGCTTAGAGGTTTCCTCCACCAGATGCCCTAAATTATTTATCTCAAGTTCAAAGTTCCACAGATCTCTAGGGCAGGGGCAAAATGCCACCAATCTCTTTGCTAAAGCATAGCAAGAATCACCTTTGTTCCAGTTCCCAACAAGTTCTTCATCTCCATCTGAAACCACATCAGCCTGGACTCTGTTGTCCATATCACTATCATCATTTTGTTCAAAGCATTTAACAAGTCTCTAGGAAGCTCCAAACTTTCCCCTATGTTCCTATCTTCTTTTGAGACTTCCAAACTCTCCCAACCTCTTCCTGTTACCCAGTTCCAAAGTCACTTCCGTATCTTTGGGTATCTTTACAGTGGAGCCCCACTACCCAGTACCAATTTACTTTATTAGTCTATTCTCTCACTGCTTTAAAGACATACCCAAAACTGGGTAATTTATAAAGAAAAAGAGGTTTAATAAATTAACAGTTCCACATGGCTGGGGAGGCCTCACAATCATGGTGGAAGGCAAAGGAGGAACAAAGTCATGTCTTACATGGCAACAGGCAAGGGAAGAATGAGCAAAAGGGGAAAAGCCCCTTATAAAACCATCTGATCCTGTAAAACCTATTCACTGTCACAAAAACAGCATGAGAGAAAACTGCTGCTGCCATGATTTAATTACCTCCCACCAGGTCCTTCCCAGGACACATGGGAGTTATGGGAGCTATAATTCAAGATGAGATTTGGGTGGGGACACAGCCAACTCATATCATATGCTTTTTAATTTTTATATAAATAAGTGCATTTAAAATAATAAATAGCTTTAAAAGTTTCCTATTTGCACAAGACTCAGCTTGAGACATGTACTATCCCAAAGCTGTGGATGTGTTATATTCCTGGCAAGGTTGAAATGCACTTATTTTTGCCCCTTTATTTGTTCATATTTAAGAATTAAAAACTCTACAAATGCTTTTTGTTCATTGAATAAAAGACATAGAGTCCTAAATTGCAAATTAAATTGTCCTATGGAGACAGGTATTAGGCATAAACCTAAAAGAGTGGTTTTCTTAGGATGCATTAACTTGAGTGAAAATTAAAAATTGGAGAAAAGAACATAAACAACTATATTGTACAGAAGAAAAAAAATCTCCGTAAGGAAAATAAATAAATAAATAAATAAATAAAGGCAGTAGTTGTCACTTAATAAAAGTGACTGAGCTACCCAGAGATCATATCATATGGTTACTCAGAATTTATTTCAAGTTCACTGCATCCTTGATGTATGTACAATGATAATATGCTTGCAGCTGGCCTAAGCAATGGATACAAGAAAACCAAATTATGCCTTTTCTAATAGAGTTATTGTATTAGTCAGGGCTCTCCAGAGAAACAGAAACAGTAGTTTGTATGTTTCATGGGTCTGTGTTTTAAATACACACAAAAAGAGAGAGAAAAACCAACAGAGATAAGGAGAGAGATTTTAATAAATTGTCTTGTGCAATTGTGCATTGGCATATCTTAAACCTCCAGGCAGCTCAGCAGGCTGAAGACAGAGAGAAGAGTTAAAGTTGAAGTCTTAAGTCTGAATGAAGTCTGGAGGCAGAATCTCTTATTTTTCAGGAGACCTCAGTCTTTTTTTCTTAACATCTTTAACTGAATAAATGAAGTCCACCCACATTATGAATGGTCATCTGCTTTACTCAAAGTCTATTGATTGAAATGTTAATCACATTTTTAAAATACCTTCACAGCAACATCGGACTAGTGTTTCACCAAACATCTGAGCACTATAGACAAGGCAACATAAGATATAAAATTAACCATCACAAGTGAAATAAAGACCAATACTAGATTTCTCTTTGAGATTACTTAAATATGTTTATTTATTTATTTGTTTTAGAAGGAAATTCTGACATCATGTGTTCATGTATAAAAAAAGAAATCAAGAATCAACTCTTATTGAAAAGGCATCTCCCTTTGACCAATATGTCCCCAAATCCTGGCCTCCCTTCAACCTCCTCAGCCCCTGGTAAGGATCATCCTAATCTGTACTTCTACAAGAGGATTGTATCTCTTTATGGTAGCAGATTCCACATATGAGTGAGATCATGCAACATTTGTCTTTCTGTGCGTGGCTTATTTCACTTAGTGTAGTGTTCTTCAGGTTTATCTATGTTGTCACAAACGATATCTTTTTGTTATGGCTGAGTGGTATTCCATTGTGTATATATAGCACATTCTCTTTATCCATTCATCCTTTGATGGACACTTAGTTTGATTCCATATCTTGGCTGTTGTGAAAAATGCTGCAATAAATTGATTATAATTAATAATATATTGTATTCTTGAAAAATGCTAAAAGAGTGGATATAAAGTGGTCTCACTAAAAAAAAAATTTAAAACCCAGGATAACTATGTGATGTAATGTATGTATTAATTAACTAGATATAGCCATTCTATTAATACAATGTATATGTACTTCAAAACATCATATTGTATACATTAAATACATTTAATTCTTCCTATTAATTGAAAAATAAATATATACGAGGTACCTCCCCACAAAAGGCACAACTTCTGGTTACTAGATTTACATTTTATAGGAGTAGTGTATTTTATACATTCATCCTACAATCTCATATTCAAGACTTTCTGGGAAAGAATTAGGAGCTTCAATACTTGTATTGCCTGTGAGAATGGTGTTAACTCAAAACACATGATTATAATTTTATAGAATGTCATACAGATAATTGAAAAATAATGAACAGCAATATTTAAGACAAATATTTAAAGCAGTTTCCATGTGTTTCTCAGGTTTCCTCTTCTGTCCCATATCCATCCTTTCTAACTGTGGACTTCAATTTTGTCCTCTGATTCAGCCATCTGGTGACATAAATTTTCTTTCCCAGTCTCCTTTATCTAAACTTGCCTTTCTAGCCTTCATTTATACCAAAAAGCCAATTACTGATAAAGGTTTAGAGGATTGTATCTCTTTATGGTAGGAGAGACCAGGGTCTTGAGCCAAAAGAAAAAGTTATTGAAAAAAACCTCTGTGTTAAAAGAATTAAACAGTATTGTTTTCCTGTGGATGTCCCAAGAAAATATACCCATTTTGGCTCAACTGATGAAGAATAGTATGACTTTCTGCCAGAAGTAAAATAGAATTAAGCTAGATCTGAGAGGCAGAATTGTTTTGGTAAATTTATGTGCTTCTCCAAGATTTAGTGCTTGTTTTTTACCTTATTAAAAAGAATGTATAAATTACATAAAATATGTCAAGCATAATAGTTGGTATAAATGTTTCATTAATTTTAGCTGTATGATTTTATTCTTCCTTTTTTTGCTAGAGAACCAACTGATGGTAGCCCTTAATGTTGATTTTGAACAAATTTTACCAAATTTTGTCACTGCCTGGAATTATTTCGAGTAGGACTACTTAGTAGGTCTATAACACTCTATGTCATAATAGCAGGATTTAGTTAGAATGCCAATATATGTCTCAGGTCTTCATTGTGATAGCAAAATCTCTGAGCACTTTCCATTGGCACTAGAATATGTGATTAAGCTATCCATTAGCATTTTCTATTTTCTAAATATTCAGTGTATTATATACTACCATACCTTTGCATGAATTATTTCTTCATAGAACAATACTTTTCCTAGAGAAGGCATCCTGCCTGTACTGGAAAAATATCACTAGTAAGATTTCAAAAGACAGCTCATTTTATTATTAAACAACTTAATGCTAAGGCATGTTATCTCTTAAAACAAAATATGTGCTCTCCCATAAAATCTGTATGGATTTCTCCTGAAGAAAAAAACCTTGCTTATTGATAATGGTTATCAGGTATTCATGGAAAAACATTTTTTAAAGGTGCTCTTTTTACTTTTTTAGATGAATTTGAACTAAATTTGATTGTTTTTTGACCTGCATACCTTTTTTGTTTGTTTGTTTGTTTGTTTTTGTGAGACAGAATCTCCTTCTGTCACCCAGGCTGGAGTGCAGTGGTGTGATCTCTGCTCACTGCGACCTCCACCTCCTGAGTTCAAGCGATTCTCCTGCCTTAGCCTCCCGAGTAGCTGGGATTACAGGCTAGGACCACCATGCCCATATGATCCCCAGATTCTAGCTGCCTTGAACTTCCCAAATTCTCATCTCTGTATGCTCAACTCAGTAAGACCATCAGAATTTCAACTGGAAACTCTCTATAACTAACAAGCTGGGGCATTGTAGAACTCAGTACATTCATTTCTCTTCTCTCAGATTACAGCCTTGTGGTGTTTGTTTTCCAATATTGAAAAATTATTGCTTTATATATTTTATCTGATTTTTTAATTGTCGGATATTTTCAATCTTTATGGTGAAGAGCAATTACGAACCAATCTTCCTGTGTGAACTTCTGAAGACGGAAAAATGACTCTATGTGCCAGAAAGGTTAATAGTTTCCCTTGGAATAAATCAACATTAATTCATTACATGTAAAATTTGAAATTTAGTTTTTTAAACTTTTAAGTTCAAATTATATATGTTATTATACTATGTTTATGTACAGTAAAATAGAAAAAACTATATCATTTTATAGTAATACAAAATTAATTTTTGTTGCACAAACTAAACTCATTTTATAAAGAATTAGTCCCATGTATTTACTTAGTTTATCAAATATCTATAAACATTTTCATGCATTTCAACTTTAATATAAGTTTTATTTTTATTATTTTATTTTATTTATTTATTACAACTTATTTTGTAATAAATTGAAGTGCTAAACAGGAATAACCAGCAGCCTAACAAGAAAAACATTCCAAAGCCTTAAATAGCTCATGTAATATTACGAATTACATAAGTACATATTATCAATACAGATATTTTAATTATCCCAGTGGTATGTACAAACATCAACAAATATACTCTTAACTGACATAATCAGAAATCCCAATCCAACAATTGTATATTTTAATTCAAATTAAAATAGATTACTTAACAGATCAATTCTTATTTATTTATTACTATATTAGAGATGGGATCTCAGTATGTTACCCATGCTGGTCTTGTATTCTTGATCTCAAAAGATCTTCCCAACTTAGTTTCCCAAAGTGCTGGTGTTATAGGCATAAGCCATGATGCCCGGCCCTTCTAGGACTAATCTTGATCATTAAAAATCTGTGAATATACTGGCATTGGACCTCTAGATATAATTTATTTTATTTTTTATATTTAATTTTAAAATGTAGTAGGGTTTGAAAAGATAATTTCACATTATTGACATTATTTATTAAAGATTGGAGTTTACTTCTACTCAGGATGCTTCTTTTGTTATATATTGACATTCTATAGACAACAGGGTCTCCAAATCTGCATATCATTTATATGGCATTCTTTAGTCTGACATAGTTAGATGAAATTCTTCAAAACCTATTTATACTTAGCAAACTTATTGATTCCTCAGTGGAGTCTGCATTTCTTTAGCTTTAGGCAACAAGTCTGTATTCATTTGAATGACATCCTATTGAATCTTGAATATCTCTCATATTTTTTCTTCCTTTGAAACCACACCTCTAGTGATGCTAATAAAACTTTTGTAAACACACAATCTGCTCTAAATTTTTCTCCAAATCTACCTGCCATTTCTGAATTATATTCTTCTCTTTATTTTGAAAGCTTTTACCTATCATTAGTCTTATGGCATATTTTCCCTTTTTTATGATTTTATTGGGATTACTGACAGGTGTTCTGAAATTACACCTATGAATTCAATGACATTGCAGAATATATTTACTGAGTTTAGTGTCCTAATCTAATCTACACAATTACATGAGTTTTTATACTTTCTTCATCTAAGTTTTACTTTTGCTTTATTCATTCTGCTCTTTCTAGTGTTTGTAACTGGAGAACACAGGTGTAAAATTTGCTACATAGTTTTCATTTTTTTCTTAGCTATTAACAATACACTCTCTTCATCAAATAGTAAATCTATTCTTTCTTTCTTTGTCTGAACATGGTTTATAGTCTATAAACACTAATAATTGCCTCAATTTTCATTTATTTTGTTATGATGCTACTGCAAGTAATATTTTTTTGACATGATGTAGAAAATGCTTTTGACTCACAGGAAAAAAAAATGCTTTAAAAATTTAGCCAAATTTCTGGAATAATGACAACAAGATGGTGGAATTGGAGTTCTTCACTTCTCCTGAAGTCCTACACATAAATATAACTAGCAACTATTTACAGGCAAGAATAACATAATCAGTATCCCAGAAATTGGGAGTGAGAAAGAGACATCTTTTTAGATTGCAAAATCAAGAAAAGCCACAATCCAATAATTATTAAGCTACCACAGGCCAGTGATTACCCATGGATAAATCATCTGGTCCCACCCAACCATAGTGGTGGTGAGGTGATCCAGTTAAGCTCCAGGACTTGCATTGTCTTTCCTAGACTGAGAAGTAACTGCAAGTCACCCAACTTTAGCTTCAGAGCAGTGACTCCACCAAACCTCAGTGTTCTGCTTAAGCTTACCACAGGCTGAGAGGCAAGCCCAAGTCCACACATATCTGTGGAGCACAGCCTCTGGCCTTGCTCATCCCGTGTAGCTAAGCGAAAATCCAAGAGACCTCACCTTATCTCAGAGTCCATTACACAGCCCTGCCTCACTACAGATTTCAAACAATAGTACCACTTGGAAAGTGAGGACAACCTGTGATTTTACCTGAACAGAAAGAATCACAGAGCTCAGCTAGCAGTCTTCGCCAGACCATGGAATACAGTCAGCAATACCATTTAATTTCATAGCATAGAAAGTGTACCACTACAATTACACAACCCAGCACAAAGATCTATCTGTATGAGATTGCTACCAGCTATTCCTTCCAGAATTCCAGGCAAAACTAAATAGTAAAGATCTAGCACCATCTATGAATATTTACAAAGACCAAAAGAGGGACCGTATTCTCAAACAAACAAGCATCAGTGTCAGGACATGAGGATTATGAACAAACAGAGAAATATGACACCACTGAAAGAAACTAATAAAACTCCAGTGATAGACCCAGAGAAAAACATTAAAAAATTATAAAGAAATTAAGGGAACTATAAGAAAATATAAATAGAAAATTAAATAAAATTTGATAAATAATTCATTAACAAGATGAGAAATATGATATATAAATAGAAAAAAATAACCAAATAGAATTTGTGGAGATAAGGAATATGATAACTAAGCTGAAAAAATTCAACAGAAAGCTTGAACAGCGAACTTGACCAACCAAAAGAAAGAATCAGTGAGCTCAAAGACAGAGTGATTCAATCAGAGGTGAAAAATAATGAAAGAATAAAAGGAATGAAGAAAGTCTAGGGGTGTTATGAGACACAGAATGAAATAACCTTGGCATAATAGAAGTAACTGAAGGAGAAGAGAAAGGAAAAGGTGTACAAAGCATACTTCAAAAAATAGTGGCTGAAAATGTCCTACATCTAGGGAGACAAAACAACATTTAGGTACAAGAAGTTCAGTGTTCATCAGTGAAATACAATCCAAATACACCAAGACACATCAGACTTAAATCTTGAAAACTTAAAGCCAAAAAACTGAAAGAAACAAGATATAATAATTGTATTACATTTAAAGGAGTCCCAACACAGCTGTGAGATTTATTTGCAGAATCCCTTAAGGACAGAAGAGAGTAGGAGGATATATTCAAAGTGCTGAAAGAAAAACAAAAACTTGTCAGCCAATTATACCCAGCAAAGTTACTGTTTTTAATGAAAGAGAAATAAAATATTTTCCAAACAAGCAAAAGCCAGTAGAATTCATCTTAACTAGACCAGTCCTACAAGAAATGCTTAAGGGTGTGCTACATGTGAAAGTAAAAGGATGATTTCTACAATCATAAACACACATGAAAGTATAAAACCCACTGCAAATACACAAATGAGAAAAAGAAAAGACTCAGGTGTTATCACTGCAGAAAACCACCAAACCATATGCCAAGGTGGGTGGATCACCTGAGATCAGGAGTTCAATACCAGCCTGGCCAACATGGAGAAACCCTGTCCCTACTAAAAGGGAAAATACAAAAAAGCAAGGTGTGGTGGTGTCTGCCTGTAGTCCCAGCTACACAGGAAGCTGAGGCAAAAAAATAGCTTGAAAGATTGAGGCAGACATTGCAGTGAGCCGAGATTGCACCACTGCACTCCAGCCTTGAGGCAGAATGTGATTCTTTCTCAAGAAAATAAATAATTTATTAAATAAAGATAAATAAGAGAGAAAAAGAATTTAAAAATACAAAACAACCAGAAATCAATTAAGAAAATAACAGGAATAAGTCCTCACCTATAAATAATAACCTTGAATGTAAATAGATCAAACTTTCCACTTAAAAAATATGGACTGGCTCCATGGATTTAAAAAAAAAAAAAAAAGATCCAACTGTATGCTGCCTACAAGGAACTCACCTCTATAAAGACACATATAGACTAAAAAAAAGGGGGATGAAAAAAGATATTCCATGCAAACAAAAACAAAATATGAGCAGAAGTAGCTATACTTATATCAGATAAAATGGACCTTAAATGAAAACAGTGAAAAGAGACAAGATCATTATATAAGTATTAAGGGATACATTCAGTAAGAGGGCATAACAATTTAAAACATATTTGCAACCAACAATGGAGCACCCAGATACATGGAGAAAATATTAGATCTAAATAGAGAGACTGACTCCACAATAATAGTTGGAGACTTTAAAACCCCACTGTCAACATTAGACAAGTCATCTAGATAGAAAAATAATAAAGAAGTATTGGATTTAAACTGCGCTGTAGATGAAATAGGCCTAATATATACAGCACACTTATTCCAATAGCTACAGAATACACATTTTCTCATCAGCATATGGAAAACTCTTTAGAATAGATCATATGTTAGGACACAAAACTCTCAACAAATTTTTTTTAAATTAAAATTTTGTTGAATACCTTTTTAGACCAAAATGCAACAAAACTAGAAGTCTGTAAAAAGAGGAACTCCTTAAAGTATACAAATAAATGTAAATTAAACAATATGGTCTTTGAATGACCAATGAGTTAAAAAAGAAAATAATAAGACAATCAAAGTAATTCTTGAAACAATAAAAACCAAAATACAACATATCAAAACATATGTGATAGCAGAAGCAGTTCTAAAAGCAAACTTTATAGAGACAAGTGCCTATATATAAAATAGGTTTCAAGTAAACAATCAAATGATGCACTTCAAGGATCTTGAAAAGCAAGAACAAACCAAACCTAAAATTTGTCAAAGGAAAGAAATAATAAAAATCAGAGCAAAACTAAACAAGATACAGACTAAAAAAAAATACAAAACATCAATGCAACAGTTACTCTTTTAAAAAGATAAAGTTGGTAAACTCCTAGCTAGACTAACTAAAAAGAGAAAGAAGACCTAAATAAATAAAATCAGAAACAAAAAAAAGAAGACATTACAACTTATACCAGAGAAATACAAAAGATCATTAACCCATGTACAAACAACTATACACCAAAAAATGGAAAACCTAAAAAAAAATAAATAAAACTCTGGACAAATATTACCTTTCAAAATTGAAATGGAAAGAAATAGAAAACCTAAACAGACCAATAATAAGTAATGATATTTAATAAATAATTTAAAAATCTCCCATTGAAGAAGATCAGTACCGGATAGCACCACTGCTGAATTCTTTTGAACTTACATAGGAAAACTAATGGGAATTCTTCTCAAACTGTTCCAAAAACTTGAAGAAGAGGAAGTTTTCTCTAACTTACTGTATGAGGATAGAATTATCCTGATACTAAAACCAGACAAAAATGCAACAAAAAAGAGACCTACAGGTCAATGTCTGATGAACAAAGACACAAAAGTTCTCAATGAAATTCTAGCAAATCAAATTCAACAGTACATGAAAAAGATAATACACTATAAGCAAGAGGGACTTGTCCAAGGAATGTAACAATAGTTTAGTACATACAAATCAATAACTGTGAAACATCATGTCAACAGAATAAAGGACAAAAAACATAAACATCTCAATAGATGCTGAAAAAGCATTTTATAAAATTCGACCTTCCTTCTTCTAGATAAAAACTCTCAACAAATGTGACATAGAAAGAACATAAAAAGGTTATATATAATAAACCCAAACTGAAAATTCTACCAAATAGGGAAAAGCTGAAAGCCTTTCCTTCAACAACTGGAATAAGACAAGAATGCCCACTTTCACCACTTCTATTAAACATAGTACCAGAAGTCCTAGTCACAACAATCAGGCAGATAAATAAATAAAGGGTATCCATGTTGAAAAATAAGAAGTCAAATGTTCCACTTTTCAGATGACATAATCTTATATTTAGGAAAATCTAAAGGCTCCACTAGAAGACTCTTAGATCCAATAGATGAAGAGTAAAGTTGCAGGATGCAAAATCAACATACACAAGTGAGTAGCACTTCTATACACCTATAATGAACTAACAGACAGAAATCAAGAGGAAAATCTTATTTATAATAAATACAAAAACATATAACTAGGAATAAATTAAACCAAGGAGGTAAAAGACCTCTACAAGGATATCTACAAAACTTTAATTAAAGAAATTGAAGAGGACAAAAATAAATGTAAAGACATTACATGTTCATGGACTAAAAGAATTAACGTCATTGACATGACCGTATTGCCCAAAGCAATCTACAGATTCAGTGCAATCCCTATGAAAATACCAGTGACATTTTTTCACAGAAATAGAAAAAACAATTCTAAAATTAATACAGAACTGAAGAGGGGCCCCAGTAGCCAAAGCAATTTAGCAATTCTGAGCAAAAAGGAACCAAGCTGGAGGCATCACACTACCTGACCTTAAAATATATGACAAATCTGTAGTAACCAAAATAGCATGCTATTGGCATAAAAATAGACACAAAGGCCAATGGAACAAAATAGAATGCCCCAGCTAAAGAATCCACTTATTTACAGCTAACTGATTTTCAACAAAGGTGCCAAGAGCATACATTGGGGAACAGGTTTCCTTTTCAACATACAATGCTGAAAAAAATTGGATATTCATATGCAGAAGAATGAAACTGGACTCCAGTCTCACATCAAATACAAAAATCAACTTAAGGTAGATTAAAATGTAAATGTAAAACCAAAATCTATAAAACTACTAGAAATAAATGTAAGAAAAACACTTTGGAATATTGTTCTAGGCAAAGATTTTATGGCTAAGACCTCAAAAGCAAATATAACAAATGTAAAAATAGACAAGTAGAACTATATTAAGCTATAAAGTTCTGCACAGCAAAGTAAGCAATCAACAGAGTAGAGACAACTTGTAGAATTGGAGAAAATAATCACAAAGTATTCATCAGATGATGGACTAATACTCAGAATATATAAGGAACTAAAAAAACTGAACAGTTAAAAAAATCCATTAAAGACTGGGAAACAAATATGAATAGACATTTCTTAAAAGGAAACACACAAATGAGCAACAAGTGTATGAAAAAAATACTCGACATCACTAATCATCAGGAAAATGCAAATCAAAGCCACAATGAAATATAATCTCACCCCAAATTGATTGCCTATTATTAAAAAGATAAAAAATGACAGATGTTGTCAAGGATGTAGAAAAAAAGAACCATTATACATTGTTGTTGGAAATGTAAATTAATATAGCCACTATGGAAAAAAATATAGGAATTTCTCAAAAGCATAAATTAAAACTATTTGTAATCCAGCAATCACACAACAGCTTATTTATCCAAAGGTAAAGAAATCAGTACGTTAAAGATTTCTGCAACCCTATATTGCAGCACTATTCACAGTATAGGAGATATGTAATCAACCTAAGTACCCATCAATGGACAACTGGATTTTAAAAATTGGTATATATACGCAATTAAATATTATCTGGCTGGCTGGGGGCAGTGGCTCATGTCTGTAACCCCAGCACTTTGGGAGGCTGAGGCAGGTGGATCACCTGTCAAGAGTTCAAGAGCAGCCTAGCCAGCATGGTGAAATTCCATCTCTACCCAAAATGTAATAACTAGCTAGGCATGGTGGCATATGACTGTAGTCCCAGCTATTAAGGACACTGAAGCAGGAGAGTTGTTTGGACTCAGGAGGCAGTGGTCGCAGTGAGCCAAGATCATGCCACTGCACTCCAGCCTGGGCAACAGAGCGAGACTCCATCTCAGAAAACAACAACAACAACAACAACAAATATATATATATATATACACACACACACACACACACACACACACACACATATATATATACACACACACACATACATATATGTATATATATGTATGTGTGTGTGTGTGTGTGTGGTGCCATAAAAAAAGAATGAATTCATGTCATTTGTAGCAATATAGATAAAACTTCAGGTCATTATGTAACTGAAGTAAATTAAGCACAGTAAGACACATATTACATGTAGGAGCTTAAAAGATTTATCTTATTTAAATAAAGTGTAGAATAATAGATACCAGAGGCTGGGAATGTTTTGTATGTGAGAGAAGGGGTGAAGAGAGGTTGGTAAATAGGTACAAACATTGAGTTAGATAGACGAAATAAATGTTAATATTCAATAGCACAATAAGGTTAGTATAGTTAATAAAAATGTATTGTATATTTCAAAATGCCTAGAAGAAAGGACTTGAAATGTTCCCAACATATAAGACTGATAAATACTTGAGGTGATAGATACCCTAAATATTTTGACTTGACTACATGTCCCATACATATAACAAAATTTCACATTCATCTCATAAGTATGTACAAATATTATGTATAAATTAAAAAATAATTTAAAAAAGAAAGTGCTGAAGAAAGAATGAACTGCCAACCAAGAATACTTTACCCAGCCAAGCTGTCTTTTAGAAATGAGAGAAACATAACAAGTTTCCCAGATAAAAGCTATAGGAGTTCATTAACAGTGGGCTTGCTTTACAGGAGTTGCTCAAGGACATCCTTTAAGATGATAAAACAGAATAATGCTAATTAATAATAAAGAATGAAAGTTAAAAAACTCAATTTTATTAGTGATACGTAGTTATACTCAGATTTCTCTAATACTGTAAGGATAGTGTGTAATGCAGTTTTATTCCTATAGACGGCTTCAAGAAAAAAGAGATTAAAAACAACTAACTATAGCTACATCAAATTGTTAAGGGATATATATTACAAAAATAAATATAAGTTTTGGTAACAAAATTATAAGAGGTAGGGGGAAGGAGTAAAAATGTAAAAAGTTACTAAAGGCAAGTTGCTATTGGCTTAAAGTAGCCTATTTTAAGGATATGTAATTCTCACAGTAACCACAATGCAAAAATCTAGAGTAGTTGCATAAAATATATAAAAGAGTCAAAGCATACCATTAAACAACAAAGGAAGACAGAAAAAGACAAAGAAAGAAAAAAAGACACTAGAAAACAAACAGAAAACAAGCTACAAAATTTCAATAGCAAGATTCTATCAAAAGTTTCCTTGAATGTAAATAGATTAAATTCTCCAATTAAAAGATAAAGTGACTGAATGGGTTTAACAGAACAAGATTTCATCAGATGCTGCTTATAGGAGCACCATGTTAGTGGTAAGGACACACATAGACTGTAAGTAAAGGGATAAAAAAAATTTCATGCAAATCAAAACCTGAAGAGTACACATAAAACTATACTTATGTCATACAAAATAGACTTTAAATTAAAAACTATAAAAAGAGACAAAGAAGAAATATCTGAAATAGACAATCTAAAGATAAACCTCAAGGTTTTAGAAAAAAACAAAAAACAAACAAACAAAAAACAAAAAAAAACTAAGCCCAAATCCAAATGAAGCCAGCTAAGCAGAAGGAAGGGAATGACAAAAATCAAAGCAAAAGTAAAGGAAATAGCGACTTAACAAAAAAGAGGAAACATCGACTAAATTAAGAGTTGGCTTTTTGAAAAGATAAACAAAGTGGACAAAACTTTAGACTAACTAGAATAAAAATAAAGATAATCAAATACTATCAGAAATAAGAGACATTACAACTGGTACCATGAAAATACGAAGGATTATAAAAACTTCTATGAACAATGATATGCCAACTAATTGGATAATCTAGAAGAAATTAATAAATTCCTAGACATGCAACCTACCAAGACAGAACCATGGAGAAAGAGAAAATCTGAACAGATAAGCAACAAGTAAACACACTGAATCAACGACAAAATATCACCCTTCACAAACAGCCAAAGACTAAATGGCTTCATTACTGAAATCTATCAAACATTTCAAGATAAATTAATAAGAATTATTTTTACTCTCTTCCAAAAGACTTGAAATAGGAAGAATACTCCCAAACTTATTTTACAAGGTACATTAGTCCATTTTCATGCTGCTATAAAGAACTGCCCGAGACTAGCTAATTTATAAAAGAAAGAGGTTTAACAGTCTCACAGTTCAGCATGGCTTGGGAGGCCTCAGGAAACTTATAATCATGATGGAAGGCACCTCTTCCCAGGGTGGCAGGAGGGAGAATGACTGCCAGCAGGCGAAATTCCAGATGCTTATAAAAATAAGTTCTCAGATCTCATGAGAATGTACTCACTATTACAAGAAAAACATAGGGGAAACCATCCCATGGTTCAACTCCCTCTCACTGGGTCCCTCCCATGACACTTGGGGATTATGGGAATTACAATTCAAAATGAGATTTGGGTGGGGGCACAGTCAAACTATATCACAAGGTTAGCATTACTTTGAACCTGAAGTTCAAAGACAAGGACACTACAAGAAAATAAAATTATAGGCCAATATCCCTGATGAACATAGATGTAAAAATTATCAAGAAAATGTAAATAAACCAAGTTCAAGAACACATTAAAGGAATCATTCATCATAATCATCATAAAATAAAGTAGAATTTATCCCTGGGATGCAGTGATGGTACAACATATGCAAATCAATAAATGTAATAAACCACTTTAAAAATTGAAGCATAAAACATATATGATCATTTCAAAAGATGCAGAAAAAGTAATTGACAAAACTCAACAATTTTTATGATATAAACTCTCAGTAGATTAGGCCGGAAGGAGTATACCTCAATATAATAAAGACCATATAGGACAAACCTGTGGCTAACATAATTCTCAAAAGTGCAATGTTGAAAACTTTTTCGCTAAGATCAGGGAAAAGAAAGGATGCTTACTCTCACTACTTCTTTCCAACATAGTACTGAAAGTCCTAGCCAGAGCATTAGACCAGAGAAAGAAAGAAAAGCCATTTTTAATAGGACAAGAGATAGTGGAATTGTTTCTATTTGCTGATGAAATATCTTATATATAGAAATCTCTAAAGACGCCATAAAAAAAAAGATTGGAACTGATAAACGAATTCAGTAAAATTGCAGAACATAAAAATAAAAACACAAAAATTTAGCACCATTTCAATATATTCATAAAAAATTATCTGAAAAGAATATTAAGAAAACTCTCCCATTTGCAATATCAATAAAGAAATTAAATATTTATGTGTAAATTTAACCAGCGGTGAAAGACCTGTATACCAAAAACTGTAAAACATTGATGAAAAAAAACTGAAGTAAACACAAATAAATGGAAAGATAGCCTGTGTTTATGGATTGAAAGAATTAATATTGTGAAAATGTGAATAATATGCCAAACAATCTACAGAGTCAGTGCAATCTCTATCAAAACAGCAATGTTGTTTTATACGAAACTGGAAAAAAAAAATCCCAAAACATATCAACCATAAAGGGCCTTGAATAGCCAAAACAATTTTGACCAAAAAGAACAAAGCAGGAGACATCTACTACCTGAATTCAAAACATATTATAAAGTGATTGTAATCAGCACAGCACGGGACTGAAATAAAAACAGACACATCAACATGGTAAAAAACCCAGAAGTAAATCCACATATTTAGGGTCAACTTATTTTTGACAAAGATGCCAAGAACACACAATAGAGAAATAATAATCTCTTCAGTAAATGAAATTGAGGAAACTGGACATTCATAAAGGGAAGAATGAAATTAGAACCATATTTTAGGTGATATAGAAAAGTGAACTCAAAATGAACTTAAATGTAATACCTGAAATTGTAAAACTACTAGATGAATATATAGGGGAAAATCTCCATGACATTGGCCTGGGCAATGATTTTTTTTGTTATGGCCAAAAACACAAGCAACAAAACCCCAAATAAGAAAACAAAATGGCATTGAACTAAAAAGTTTCTGTACAGCAAAGTGAATAATGAACAAAGCAAAGAGACACCCCACAGAAGAAGAGAAAATATTTGCAAACCATAAATCTGATAAGGGGTAAATATCCAAAATATATAAAGAATCCAAACAATTTATAGCAAGAAAAGAAATAACCCCATTTAAAAAAATGGGCAAAGGACCTGAATAAACATTTTTAAAAGAAGACACACAAATGACAATAGGTACATGAAAAAATGCTCAGCATTACTAATCATTAGGAAAATGCAAATTAAATTCACAGTGAGTGATTACATCATACTTGTTAGAATGGCTTTTATCAAAGTGCTGGTGAGGATGGAGAGAAAAGGGCACTCTTTCACATTATTGGTGGCAATGCAAATTAGTATAGCCAATATGGGAGATAGTTTAGAGGATCCTCAAAAAATGAAAAATAGAACTACCATACAGTCTAATAATCCCACTTCTGGGTACATATCCAAAGGAACTAAAATCAACATATCAAAGTAATATCTACACTCCCATGTTCATTGTAGTTTTAGTCACAATAGCTAAGCTTAGCAAACAACCTAAGTGTCCATGAATGGATGAATGGTTAAAAAAATGTGGCATATGTACACAAAGGACTACTATTAGACTTGCAAAATGAGGAAATCCTATCATTTGCAACAGGCTGCGTGAATCTAGAGGGTGTTATGCTAAGTGAAACAAATGGGGAACAGAAAGACAAATACCACATGATCTTACCTCTATGTGCAATCTCATAAAGTTGTACTCATAGAAGTAGAGAGTAGAATAATGCTTACCAGAGACTGGGAAGGGTAAAGGTAGACGAAGATGGGAAAATATTGATCAAAAGATACGAAGTTTAAAGTAGAAGAATAGGCTTTGCGTTCTATTTCACAGCATGGTGGCTATAGGTAACGGTGTATTATATATTTCAAAATAAGAGTAAATTTCAAATGTGTCACCATAAAAATATGATAGGTAAGCTAGGTGATGAATATACTAATTAACTATTTATTCGTGCCTAATTTTACACATACATAAAAACATCACACTGTACCCCATAGGTGTGTACAATTATGACTTGTCAATCAAAAATAATATTAATAATAAATTAAAAGTCCCAACACGAGCAAAAAAACCTTCAGCCAACTTTAGGGGGGAAATCATTTTTAAGTAACTGTATTTATTTAAAGACATATTTTTATTGTTCATTTGAAGCGAAAATTATCATAGAAGTGCCAAGTAAAATAAATAATGTCATTAGCCTACTATTCCAGGATATTTGAATTTACTCAGAATTACCCTGTAGCCATCCTGGTAACTAAACCTAGTTTGTGGTTGAAAAATCTCTAAATTCTATGATATTATTAGTGGGAGTTGCAAATTTTCTTCTTGTTCTATGGAATTAGATTTTTTTCAACCTTGCTAAAATTTTTGAAAAAGGAAATACTTTTAACTTTCTTAAATCCTTACAGTTTAAATATTACTTTATAAACAGAAATTCCAAAATACCGTTGTAGGGACCAAAAAATGCAAAAAGAATACATATTACTAAACAAACAAACAACAAGTCAGTGAATGCATTGCAATCTATTGGTGTTTGTTATTTAAGCCCAAGGAAGGGTATCATGTTATTCATATGAGACCATTAGATATCTTGTTATAGTGCCATTGAAATATTAAACTGTCCTAGAAAACATATTCCTTTCTGTGAACAAGAGTAATTTATGGACCTTAAATCAAGAAGGAAGAAATTAATAAGGATTCTGAAAAACATTTTATTGCTGGTGTATTTACAAATAGTCAATATTCTCATCTAAAAAAGTTTCATCGTGATTATATGCAAAGCACCACGTCTTTGTGATTATCATGGAGGGTGAGGCTATCACAGATGATAAACAATTCCTAAAATACTTATATGATTCATAATGAATTAGTAAAACAAGTATGGATTATTGTACATATCGTTACCCAAATTAGGTTTAATATACGAATATGTATTTTATTATTAAATGGAAATATTGTTTCAGTCATAATGAATATCCTAAATATGTTCAGATATTTTCACCAAATTAAAAACATTATTGCACAAAGCAAATTTTAATAAACTATGTATGTACACACTATGAGAACTGCAAATGACTTTGTTTTTGAAAACTTAATTAGGCGCTTATATTAGAAATAATACATTTCAAACACCTAGTGCTTGACACCTTACGGTGAACTTTTGCTGAGATCTGAAAACTCTACGCATTGACAGCTTTGTGGATCAGGGCACGGCACAGTCTCAGGGTTCTCAAGTCTCACGCTGGTTCTGCAAGCCAAGTTCTTCTGGTTCAGCACCTTTGCAATAGTATGACCAAACATTAGAGAACTCTGAGTTTAAGATACAGTCACTGGATTCTCTGCTTAGTTATTTTATAACCACAATAGCTATTTGCTGGCACCATATTATTTTCACATCATTCCAAAAGAGATATATGATATCAGAATCACTAAGTTACTATATCACTTACTGTCACATATAAAATACATTTCAATTTTTTATACTTCTGATATTATATAATACAATATATTTAAATGTTTTATAATACAAGACAATAAGAAAAATAGCGTGTTATTTCAAAATACACGGAATTGTTCAGAAATGCATTTTGATATAAATATCCTTATTTTTAATCCATTTTTGAACATGTCTTTGAAGATAATTAGGTAATCATGGAATTTTTACACATTACTTATTTTTGCTTTGAATATATAGAATTTTGATTGAAGCCATCCATGGGAAAGATTTTAGCCTGTTTTCAATTGCTAAAAAGTAATAATACAGAACTACCTTATTTTTCAAATGCAGATTGATGTTATATTAAGTGTTTGAAAACAGTTTGATTTCCTTAACAATCTGTGCCAGAGAAAGTGCTTTATAAACATTTTGAAATGTCCAGGCAGTATTTTCAGCTAGCAAAGATATCTTACTTTCCTAACCCCACCCCAATAATACACTTAAAATGACATTACAAGGTCTCAATTCAGTGGGGTTAGAATTAATAATGTTTCCCTGCAACTGGTAATTGGCAAAAATCTGTTTACTTCTACTCTACTTTCCCTTTGTGCTTAAATGTTCTGTTGACTCCATCATGAACTTCAAGGTGAACTTCAGAGGCTCACTGAGAGGTTTATTCATTTTGGCAGAGAAAAAAGCTGACTCTATATGTAGCTAAACTTTAAACTACATTCCTGTACCTTGCAAAACCATCAACATTTTCTCCACAACTGGCTATTTTCCATTTTTGATATGAATAAAGCCAAAACAAGAGCTAGTTAAGAAACCAGAAATCTTTTCAGCTCTGGAAAAGTAGAGAGAGAAAAAGAAATATCCAGCAGAAAATATTGGTTGTATGCTCACCAAATCAATCCTTCAATCTAATTTCATTTTTAAGACAAATTGGATTATCTTTCCCTTTAAAAATCTGTTGAATTCACTGTAAATACAAAATTCAATTTAATTTACATATACTAATCAGGTAATCTTTCTATTGGTATTGGAGAAAAAAAAGACCAAATATAATTCCAAATGTCATATTACACTGAGCTGTATGTCACCTGTGGATGCCAATTTAAAGTCTGAGGCATAGTATATTTGTATTCATCCTTCACCTCTACTTATTAGACGAGTTAAGCGAAGCCCAAATTTGAACGCATGGTTATAAATTACTGTCTTTTGATTTTATTTATGAACCAGTTTAGTAAAACATAAACTTTGTTGCTGAATAGTTGAAATATGGTAGTTTTAACATACCCCATGTCAACCCCTTTATTCTTATGTGTATTATTATGAAACGTTATTATCTGACAGCTTCAGGGGAAAGTTAAAGATATGAGAAAATACTTGTGTAATTCAGTCAATAAAGCCAAAATATTCTTAGTAACTTAAAGAAATTAGGCTTCTTATGTTTGGGTATTTTAAACAATGAGTAGAATAGAATTGCCTTATAATTCTGATTACAATTTCTGGATCCTAGGATTGAGCTCTAAACTCTGGGACCATGGCTACAAGTGAAGCATTCTAAGAGGGTATTGCTGTGAAAATTAAGTGTAGCTGATCATTGTAATGCTTTTAAATGCCCTGCCATTCTTAATTCACAGCCATCAATTGCAATCATTAATCAAGTTGAATGCAATGGTTTGGGTGAATACTTAATATTGATTCTAGCTTAAATTTCACTGTAATTATAACTTAATTGTAAGCAGTATGTGTAATATTTAAATATAACCTAGTTTAAACTGTCAATTAAGTGACAGCAGGGAAAAAGGACAAATCCTGTGACCCAGACAGGAATCATAAGGACATATTCTCTGAAACAGAGGAAGAAAAAAGCCAAAAGGTCGGAAAAAAAAAAAAAGACAAGAGGAGTGAATATTTATTAGCACATGTAAGCTTAGTGTTGCCACTAACATGTTTACAAAAGTGCTCTTAGACAAAAATGTAAAAACAGGCACAAACAGAGGACAGGCCCTTTGAGTATTAGAAGACAACCTTAATTTCAAATTCCCAAAAATTTTCTGATAAAATTCAGGATAGTCCTCCTGCATGGAAAGTTCAAACACTTATTTAATTCATTGCAAAATCCTACATTTGGAAAGACAAAATACATCAGTTAATTTATCTCCTGTCCCAAATGTGTTACTTGGATTTTCATGAGTCAACTTTGTGAAAGTGCCTTAATTTCACTGATTCTAGTTTTCTTCATTTGAAAATGCATGTTTGAAAATGAAATAATCCCCAAAGCAATGTAAACCTGCCTTCCTTCTAAACCACCACTTTCTGCTATTTTTTGTTTTAGCTACAGGTAGCCAGCATGCAGTTTTCAGTAAGATGAATCAGTCTTATAACTCTGAATCCAGGCATCTGTTGAAGCCTTTAGCTCTGATTCCAGCAGTTTAATTTGAGAATATATATATATGTTTAGGTCTACTTATAGAGATGTCTCAGTCTACTTGAAGAGTTGTCTAAATCTGTGATTCTCAAAATGTGAATCCCCAACCAGCAACATTGGCATCACCTGGGAATTTTATAGAAATATAGATTATCAGGCCTCACCCCACACATACCAAATAAGAAACTCTGCGGGATAAGTCCAGCAATCTGTGTCTTTCAGGTGATTATAGAAGTTTGAGAACTATTTTCTCACAAAACAACAGGTATTAAATGCAAAATAGATGACAGAACAAATGCCTTAAACTTGCCTCTCCCCCAAATCCCACCAAATTGACCATAGATATTAAGAGCAAAAATAACAAACAGAAGAACAAATAAATAAATCGATGGCAATACCAATTATCTGGGACTCATCAGTATGCTATATCTGTGAGCAGTTTCTGGAAAGAAAATACAGACAGGACAAAAATGATGCCAATATCCAATAGATATGAGGAATTACTTACTACATGAAAGTAAAGTAGAAAACCTTTAAAAAGATATGTTTCCCCCCATCCTTGGAATAATTTTAGAATCTGAACTCCAAGATCCTTGCAGTGGGACCAGAGATCATAAGATTGCTAATGGGAATGTGATGTAATTATTATTTAAAGGCTCAGGAAGAGCTGCTTAGTCCCATTTCAGATATAAAGCCACAAACATCACTTTGAAGGAGTTCTGACATTCTAAATGATCAGAGTACTGGAGATTTTTAAATTCATGGGTCCTACTATTGTGGTACAGTAATCGGATGCTACATGTTTATGTCAAAAGAGTGGCAGGTGCATAGGCTATTCATATCACTAATGTCAAATGCATATGTATACACATTATATAGGTATATACATATATCGCATATGTATAGGCATTATATATGTGTATGTGTTGTATAAAATATATATACTATATATGTGTATATATATTCCCCAGATCCTAAATATTTAAAGAAATCCACTGCTCAAGAAAGAGAACAAGAAGAAAAAAAGAAGGAAAACAAACTCATACCCTCCAACAACTATTCAAAGATGACTAAACATCTGTACATGCGTGGTAATAGTGAATACAGCAGGCAAAATTTATTGGACTTCATCTCATAATGCCGGAAAATATATAAATAATATATAAAAAGAAAATATTATGAGTAATAGAGAAAATTAATAAATTGTGTATTAGAACTTTAGATTTGGTCATTAAACAAGTAGCGGGTTCTTTGTAAAGCCCTATAAGCAAGAGACAACTTTGAAAGTCTGAGAAACTGGAAGAATTAAAGAAGCACAGAGAAAACACAGAAGTTGTAAGAACAAGGTAATTAGTATAAAGAGAACATTAAAGTATTAAAAACAAGATAATTAAATTTATATTAATAATTTTGAAAATCTCACTGAAATGGTTAGCTTTACAAGAAATATAATTTACTTGAGGTCATACAGTTTAGTAATGGAATTAGTTCAGTCTGAATACAAAGTTTCTTGTATCAGATGCTGTTGATTGCCAACTTGAAATCTACCCTACTACCCACTTTTTTTTCCTGGCAATTTGGGAGATGATTTTGATTCAGATGTCTACCTTCTTTTACAAGGCCAAGTACTTCAGAGGAAGCAGCCAATTTCCACAGCCCCAGGGAGAGAATTATAATAGGTTTAATCCAATTCCAGAACCATGTATTAACTCAGCCAGCTTTCTCCCACTGACTTGAAATAACAGCTTTGTCATTTTTGAGATCACACATATGTGCAGATCTATTTCTGGAAGCTTTTTTTTTTTCTGTAATTGTACCTCCTTCTTTGGTTATGCCCTGTATTAATATAATATTCTTTTAAAAACAGTAACTTTTTATTAAGTTTTAATATGTGGAAATAGAAGTCCTCACTTAGTTGTTTGATACTAAACATTTTTTATTTTTAATTTTTATGGGTACATATTAGGTGTTTATATTTATGGGGTACAAGAAATGTTTTGATACAGGCATGCAATGTGAAATAAGCACATCATACAGAATGGGGTATCCATCTCCTCAAGCATTTATCCGTTGAGTTGTAAACAATCCAATTACACACTTTAAGTTATTTTAAAATGTGCAGTTATTATTGACTATAGTCCCATGTCGTGGTATCAAATAGTAGGTCTTGTTTATTCTTTCTAACTATTTTTTGTGTACCCATTAACCATTAGCACCTCTCCCCCAGGCCCCACTACACTTCCCAGCCTCTGACACCCATCCTTCTACTCTCTATGCCTATGACTACAATTGTTTTGATTTTTAGATCCCATAAATAAGTGAGGCCATGTGATGTTTGTCTTTCTGTGCCTGGCTTATTTCATTTAACATAATGATCTCTAGTTCCATCCATGTTGTTGCAAATGACTGGATCTCATTCTTTTTAATGCCTGAAGCTGAATAGTACTACTCTGTGGTGTATATGTACCACATTTTCTTTACCCATTCATCCTTGATGGACACTTAGATTGCTTCCAAATCTTAGCTATCATAAACAGTGCTGCAACAAACATAGGAGTGCAGATATTTCTCTTTGATATACTGATTTCCTTTATTTTGGGTATATACCTAGCAATGGGATTGCTGGACCAAATGGTAGCTCAGTTTTTAGTTTTTGGAGGAACTTCCAAACTCTTCTCCATAATGGTTGTACTAATTTAAATTCCTACCAATAGTGTATGAGGGTTTCTTTTTCTCCATATCCTTGCCAGCATTTGTTGTTGCTTGTCTTTTGGATAAAAGCTATTTTAATTGAGGTGAGATGATATTTTATTGTTGTTTTTATTTGCAGTTCTCTGGTGATCAGTGATGTTGAGCACCTTTTCATATGCTTGTTTTGCCATTTGTATGTCTTCTTTTGAGAAATATCTACTCAAATCATTTGCCCATATTTTTTTATCGGATTATTAGATTTTTTCCTATACAGGCATTTCAGCTCCTTATGTATTCTGGCTATTAATCCCATGTCAGAGGGGGTAGTTTGCAAATATTTTCTCCCATTCTGTGGTTGTCTCTTGACTTTGTTGTTTTCTTTTCTTTCTTTTTTTTTTTTTTTTTTTGAGACAGGGTCTCACTCTGTCACCCAGGCTGGAGTGCAGTGGCACAATCTCATATCACTGCAACCTCTGCCTCCTGGGTTCAAGCAATTCTTTTGCCTCAGCCTCCCAAGTAGCTGGGATTACAGGTGCACGCCACCACTGCCTGGCTAATTTTTGTATTTTTAGTAGAAATGGGGTTTCACCATATTGGCCAGGCTGGTCTCAAACTCCCAACCTCAGGTTATCCACCTGCCTTGGCCTCCCGAAGTGTTGGGATTACAGGAATGAGCCACCATACCCAGCCAACTTTGTTGTTTTCTATCCTTTGCTGTGTAGAAGCTTTTTAACTTGAGGTGATCCTGTTGGTCCATGTTTGCTTTGGTTGCCTCTACTTGTAGCGTATAGCTCAAGAAGTCTTGGCCCAGATCAAGTCCTGAAGATTTTCTTCAATGTTTTCTTATAGTAGTTTCACAGTTTGAGGTCAGATTTAAGTCTTTATTCCATTTTGATTTGATCTTTGTATTTAGCAAGAGATAGGAGTCTAGAGTCATTCTTCTGCATATGGACATTCAGTTTTCACAGCATATTTATTGAAGAAACTCTTTTCACCAGTGTGTGTTCTTGGCAGCTTTGTCAAAACTGAGTTCACTGTAGGTGTGTGGATTTGTTTCTGGGTTATCTGTTATGTTCCACTGGTCTTTGTGCCTGCTTTTATGCCAGTACCATGCTGTTTTGGTTACTATAGCTCTGTAGTATAATTTGAAGACCAGTAATGTGATTACTCCAGTTTTGTTCTTTTGGCTTAGGATAGCTTTGGCTATTATGCATCTTTTGTGGTTCCACATACAGTTTAGGATTGTTTCTTCTATTTCTGTGAAGACTATCATGGACATTTTGACAGGGATTGCATTAAATCTGTAGATTGCTTTGAGTAGTGTAGACATTTTAACAATATCAACTATTCCAATCTATGAACGTAGAATATTTTTCCCACATTTGGTGTCCTCTCAATTTCCTTTATCAGCATGTTATAGTTTTTATTATAGAGGTCTTTCACTTCATTGGTTCAGTTAATTCATAGGCATTTAATTTTATGTGTGACTATTTTAGATGGGATTGGTTTTTTATTTGTTTTTCACATTGTTTACTGCTGCTATTTAGAAATGCTGCTAAATTTTGTAGGTTGATACCATATTCTGCAACTTTACTGAACTTTTTTATCAGTTTTAATATTTTTTGTGGATTCTTTAGGTTTTATTCAAATATGGGATCAAATCATTAGCAAATGAGAAAAATTTGACTTCTTCCTTTCATCTGGATGCCTTTTATGTCTTTCTCTTGTCTGACTGCTCTAGCCATGATTTCTGGTACTATGCTGAAAAACAGAGGTAACAGCAGGCATCATTGTGTTCCAGATCTTTGAGGAAACACTTTCAGCTTTTTCTTCATTCAGTACAATACCCGCTGTAGATCTTTTGTATATGAATTTTATGTTGAGGTGTGTGTTCCTTCTATCCCTAGTTTTTTGAAGGTCTTTATCATGAAGGGATGTCAAATTTTATTAAATGCTTTTTCAGCATCAATTGAAATGATCATATGGTTTTTATCCTTCATTCTGTTGATATGATGTCATGTTGATTGACTTGCATATGTTGAATCATCCTTGCATCCCAGGGATAAATCCCATTTTGACATGATGAATGATCTTTCTAATGTATTGTTGAATTTGGTTTGCTAGTATTTTGTTGAGAATTTTTGCATCAATATTCATCAGAGATATTGGCCTGTACTTTTCTTTTTTTGATGTGTCTTTGTCTGGTCTTGGTGTCAGAGTAATACCGGCATTCTAGAAGGAGTTTGGAAGTATTCCTTCCTCCTCTATTATTCAGAATAGCTTGAAGAGGATTAGTATTAGTTCTTCTTTAAATGTTTTATAAAATCTGGCAGTGAAGCCATTACGTGATGGGTTTTTCTTTACTGAAAAAGTTTTTATTACAGAGTCAATCTCATTGCTTGTTATTTGTCTGTTCAGACTTTGGAGTTCTTTCTGGCTCAATCTTGGTAGTTTGTATATATCCATTTCTTCTAGATTTTCCATTTCATTGATATATAGTTGCTCGTAGTGGCCACTAATGATTATTTAAATTTCTACAGTATTAGTTGTAATTTCTCCTTATCATTTCTGACTTATTTATTTGGATCTTCTCTCTATTTTACTTAGTCTGGGTAAAAGTTTGTCAATTTTGTTTAACTTTTACAAAATCAAATTTTTGTTTCATTGATCTTTTGTGTTTTTTTATTTCAATTTTATTTCTGTTCTGATCTTTATTATTTCTTTTCTTCTATTGGGGGGATTACTCTGCTTTTTCTAGTTCTTTAAGATACATAATTAGACTAGTTATTTAAAGTTTTTTCCTTCTCTTTGATTTAGGCATTTATAGCAATAAATTTCCCTCTGAGTACTGCTTTTGCTATAACCCATAGGTTTTGGTATGTTGTGTTTCCATAAGCATTTGTTTCACTAAATTTTTCAATTTTCTTCTTAATTTTCATATTGACCCACTTGTCCTTCAAGAGCATATTGTTTAATTTTCTTGTATTTGTATAGTTTCCAAAATTCCTCTTGTTATTAATTTCTAGTTTTATTCCATTGTGGTCAGAGAAGATGCTTGATAGTATTTCATTTTGTTTAATTTTTTAAGACTTGCTTTGTGACCTAACGTGGTCTATTCTTGAGAATAATTTATGTGCCGAGAAAAAGAATGCATATTCTTCAGCTGTTCGATGAAATGTTTTGTAAATACTTATTAGATCCAATTGGCCTGTAGCACAGATTAAGTCTGATGTTTCTTTGTTGATTTTCTGTCTGGAAGATCTGTCCAATGCTGAAAGAGGGGTGTTGAAGTCTCCAATTAGTATTGTATTAGGGTCTATCTCTCTCTTTAGCCCTAATAATATTTCCTTTATATATTTGGGTGCTCCAGTGTTTGGTGCATATATATTTAAAATTATTATATTATCTTGCTGAATTGACACCTTTATCATTATATAGTAAGCTTCTTTGTCTCTTCAAATAGTTTTTGTCTTGAAATCTATTTTGTCTGACATAGGTGCAATGACTCTTGTTCTTTTTTGGTTTTCATTGGCAGGAAATATCTCTTTCTATCCCTTTATTTTCAGTCTATTTGTGTGTTTTTTGGTGAAGTGTGTTTCTTGTAAGCAACAGATCAATAGGTCTTGTTTCTCCATCCAGATAGTCAGTTTATGTCTTTTGATAGGAGAGTTCAGTCCATTTACATTCAATGTTATTATGGATAGGTAAAGACTTACTCCTGCCATTTTGTTATTTTTTTGTGATTGTTTTGTAATATTCTCTTTCTTCTTTCTTTCATTGCTGTCTTCCTCTAGTGAAGGTAATTGTCTCTGGTGATATTATTTAGATTCTTGCTTTTTATGTTTTGTGTATCCATTGTATGTTTTTTGGTTTGAGGTTACTATGAAGCTTGCAAATAGTATCTTATAACCAAATAATTTAACCTGACAACAACTAAATAATATTTGTATAAACAAACCAACAAGCAGACAGAAAACTAACAAAAATTCACCTTAACTTCATCCCTCCACCTTTTAATTTTGGTTGTTTTTAATTTTTGTATTATTGTACTGATTATGTCCTGAAAAGTTGTTGTAGTTATTACTTTTGATTGGTTCATCAATTATTCTTTCTACTTAGGATAAGAATAGTTTACACACCATAGTTATAGTGTCAAAATATTCTGTGTTTTTCTATGTACTTACTATTACCAGGAAGTTTTGTACCTTCAGGTGATTATTTATTGTTCATTAATGTTATTTTCTTTCTGATTGAAGTACACCCTTTAGCATTTCTTGTCAGACTGGTCTGGTATTGATAAAATCTATCAGTTTTTGTTTGTTTGGGAAAGTGTTTCTCTTTCATGTTTGATGAATATTTTCACCAGATATATTATTCTAGGGTAAAAGTTGTTTTCCTTCAGCACTTTTAATATTTCATGCCTCTCTTTCTTAGCCTGTATGGTTTCCACTGAAAAGTCTGCTTCCAGATGTACTGGAGCTCCATTGCATGCTATTTGTTTCATTTCTCTTGATGCTTTTAGGATCCTTTCTTTATTCCTAACCTTTGGGAGTTTAATTGTTAAATGCTTTGAAGTAGTCTTTTTGTTAAATCTGTTTGGTGTTCTATAACCTTCTTGTAATTGGATATCAATATATTTCACTAAATTGTGGAAATTCCCTGTTATTATTCTTGTGAATACACTTTCTACCCCTATCTTTTTCTCTACCTTCTCTTTCATGCCCGTAATTCTTAAACTTGCCCTTTTGATGCTATTTTCCAGACCCTGTAGGCATGCTTCATTGTTTTTTTTCTCCTGTTGATTTGTATTTTCAAATAAAGCCTGTCTTTAAGCTCATTAATTCTGTCTTCTTCTCGATCCATTCTGTGATTAAAAGACTATTATGCATTCTTCAATGTGCCAATCACATTTCTCAGCTCTGGAATTTCTACTTTATTCTTTTAAATTATTTCAATCTCTTTGTTAAATTTATGTGATAGAATTCAGAATTTTTTTTCATGTTATCTTGAATTTCTTTGAGTTTTCTCAACACAGCTATTTTGAATTCTCTGCCTGGAAGATCTCCTATCTCTGTTTCTCCAGTATTGGTCCCTGGTGCCTTGTTTAATTTATTTGGTGAGGTCATGTTTTCCTGGGTGGTGCTGATGCAAGTAGATGTTCTTTGGTTTCTGGGCACTGAAGAGTTAGATATTTATTGTAGTCTTTGCTGTCTGGGCTTATTTTTCACCATCCTTCTTGGAAAGGCTTTCCAGATATTTGAAAGAACTTGGGTGCTATGATCTAAGCTGTTTCTGCTTTAAGGAGCACCTCAACCCAGTAGCACTGTGATTCTTGTAGACTCATAGAGGTACTGTCTTGATTGTCTTGGATAATATGTGAGGAATTTCTATAGATTACAATGAAGAGATTCTTGTTCTCTTTTTCTTTGTTTACTTTCTCCCAAACATAAAGAGTCTCTCTCTCTTTCTCTCTCTCTCTCTCTCTCTCTCTCTCTGTTCTGAGCCACCTAAAGCTGGGAGGAAGGTGGAGTAACACAAGCACCCCTGTGACCACCGCCACTATTACTGTGCTGGGTCAGACCTGTAGCTAGCACAGTGCTGGAACTTGCCCAAGGCCTGCTGTAACTACTCCCTGGCTACTGTCTCTGTTTGTTCAAGGTCCTGGGGCTCTACAATCAGCAGGTGGAAAAGCCAGCCAAGCCTGTGTTCTTCCTTTAGTGTGTCAGGGTCCCTTAGGCCCTGAGTGGGTCCAGAAGTGCCATTCAGGATTCTTAGGCTAGATTCAAAAACTTTAGAAGTCTACCTTGTATTTTATTATATTGAGGCTGATCTGGCACTTAAAACACAAAATGCAGTCCTTCCCATTCTTCCGTCCCCTTTCCAAAGGCAGAGGAGACTCACCGAGCAACCACTGCCACCCTTGGCCACAGGGAGTACTGCCAGACTACCAACCATGTTCCCTTAAGGGCCAAGATCTCTTAAGTCAGCTTGTGGTGAACGTTGCCTGGCCTGGGACTCACCTCTGGCCCATGGTAAATCCAGAAATTGCCATCAAAGAGTCATATCCTGGAACTGTGAGCCCAAAGAGTCTGCTTAGTGCTCTACCCCCTTGTGACTGTTTGGTACATTAAACCAGTAAGTCTCAGAGGGTCACTCAATGCCTTTCAGTAATAGCTGGGTGGTTATTCAGGGTCCAAGGGCTTTTCAGTAAGCAAGTGATGAATGCTGGTAGAACTAAGTCCTTTTCTTCAAGTCTATGGGTTTCCTTCTTGCCCAGGGTGTGTCTAGAAATGTTATCTTGGAGCTAGGGCCTGGAATGGGGGCTTTATCACTGTTATCAGTGCCCTATCTTGCTGTGGCTGAGCTGATACTCAGGATGCAAGACAAAGTTTTCCCCACTCTTCCCTGTCCTCTCCTCAAGCAGAAGAAGGGGTCCCTTTTGGGACCACAAGCTGTGCAGCCTGAGATTAGGGAAGGGGTTGTGCCAGCACTCCCTTGGCTGCCCCAGCTAGTGTCTCAGTTTGTTGTGTGCCCTCCCAGTCCACTGTCTCTGGGCTTAGTTCAGCCCTAGAATTGCCTAAGAGTTGAAGTCCTTGTGACTTAGACTGCCTTTCAAATTTACTGAGAGACTGAGAGCACTTTGGCCCTGCGTGACGAGGTTTGTAGGCACACAAGTTCAGACCATGGGAAGGTGATTCTCCTCTGGCTAAGGCTGATTAAAGGCTTCCTCTGTGGGTAAGCATCAGCTGAGTTTGGTTCAGCTTTTCTTTCTGCTCTAACAGGACTGAACTGAGTTCAGTGCCTTACAGTTGCTGTGTTCTTCCTCACCTAATGCCCAGAGATGATCTCAGCACACTGCTGCTGCATGGAGTGGGGGAGTGATGGTTTTGGCGATTCAAGACTGCTTTTTCTATCTCTTTAGTGCCTCTTTCAGCAAAATGAAGTTAAAACCAGGTACTGGCCAGGTGCAGTGGCTCATGCTTGTAATCCTAGCACTTTGGGAGGCTGAGGCAGGCAGATCATGAGGTCAGGAGTTCGAGACCAGCCTGGCCAATATGGTGAAACCCTGTCTCTTCTAAAAATACAAAAATTAGCCAGGCATGATGGTGTGCACCTGTAGTCCCAGCTACTTGGGAGGCTGAGGCAGAAGAATTGCTTGAACCCGGGAGGAGGAGGTTGCAGTGAGCTGAGATCATGCCACTGCACTCTAGCCTGGGCAACAGCGCTAGACTCTGTCTCAAAAAAACACACAAACAAACAAAAACAAAAAAACCCACAAAAAATAAAACAAACAAACAAAAACCTAGTTACTATGAGTGCCTACCTGATTTTTGGTTCTTACAAGGTGTTTCTTTCTGTGTAGATAGTTGTTAACTTGGTGTCTTTGCATGGAAGATGTTTGGTGAAGCTCTCTCTTCTGTAATCTTGCTCTGCCTCCTATGATATGAATCAGTTTTTGAGAAGCAATAATTTTTACACCAGGGAATATAGTTTTTACAATTTGCTTCTGAAATCTTTGAAATGGGCCTACTTATTTAAAGCTTCTTGATACGTTTAATTCTACCATTAATGTTTTGTTTATGGAATGTCTTATGTTCCCTTCATTATTTACAGATCTTATTCTCTTGCCATGCCCAAGAATTTTAGAACAAAGTAAAATGAAATTGTTTTAAATGATATGGAAGATCATTAATGTTAAATTATTTTAGTTTTAAATATTTGTGTTTGCATTGATCATGTTTGAAAAAAATCCATTTATGATCATTCCCTCTGTGTACTATAACTTTCTCATTGTTTTATTTTTATTATTTATTTCATATAGGATATTTACCATATAGCTTTCGTCTTATTTTTAGTGGAATTAAAGAAAACACATGAAGACATGCTAGTCTTCTGACTGTCATTTAACTTAAAATTTTAAATGTCATGAATTCAGAGAGCTACTTCTATAATAGAAGGGTATGAGTATATCTTTGAAAATGTGTACAATCTTAGGCTATTAGAGTCAGGGGCTGGGGGAAACAGGCAATTTAGATGAGATGGCTAAGACTTCTAAAGGTTAGTAGTCCAATCTAAAGTGTACATCATTCTGCCCCTGTGCCGTCCTCACTGGGCAGAGTACAGAGTGTAAGGGGTGAAGCCTCTGGATGATTTGTCCCCCATCAAGGCCATAGGCATGAATTGGAGATCAGGTACAGTACTTTAGTTAAGCAAGGTATGACAGGCAAAATGAAAGAAGGACCCTTGCTGTAGGGGAATTTGGGAGCTAGGTGAGACTCTAAAACGAGATCTAAAGACAATAATAACACGAAAGATAATCCAGTTGAATAATCTAGGAATACATAACAATTGAAAATGTGTTGGAAATTCTGTAAGAGATCCAGCAGAATTACATTGTATTGTTGATTATAATGCAGAAGTCCCAAGATCAAATTTGATGAAGTACCAATGTGATGAACTGATTCTAAGCCCTTCTGGTTATGCACATGTTAGTGATACTGTGGGAAGAAAGGAGATTGCTGGTAATGTGAGTGAGTGAGATTGCTTATATTTATTCTGATTTATCATTAAGTTGGCTTGGAAACTGCATCAGAGCAGCTTTTGCTATAGTTAAAAGCTCAATGGCTTAATTAAAGCCATTATCTAATTATAGACTTAGGGAAGGCAGATCTAAAAAAGTTAGGTAATAAAGTTCAGGGAGAAGCTGACTGGCACTATCATGTTTTGCTTTTTCAGTAAACTGACTTACAAATTGCATCCTATTTAGCTGAGTGGATTAGTCATGAAGTTGATCTGACTAGTGTAAATATATTTAAAACATTGATTCACTTCAATTCTATTTTTCTCCAATAGAAAAAGTCCGTGGTTAGCTTTTCTTGTAATTTGCTTACTTTGCTGATTTACTTTAAGTTTTTCCTAAAGAAATGACTTAAAATGTCAGTGTCTTTCTAGGAATAGAAAATACCATTGACTTTGAATAAATTTGGTTCAAGTAAAGGTGACAAAAAGACAATGCTCAAATATACAAAGTAACTGCTTCAACAAGAACAAAAAGGATTATACAGATTTAGCCACAGTGCTTGAATCTTCCCAATTCAATCACATTAGAATAATTATGTACAATTCAGTCTACATGAAAGTGGTCTAACTGTGAACATAATATTGTGTTCTTAATTCTTTGTTAACCTAATTCATTTCCTCATATGACACAATACCCCATGTTCACAAATTTACTTTTGAATCAAGAAGAACGAAAAACTTGAGTTCTGGAACAGCGTGTCTTCTTTCACATTCTGATATTATCTAGTTCTTTAGTAGGGCAGCATAGAGGGAGAGCTGACTCACTGGGGAAATTAAAAATATGTGACAGCACTTTTTAATACAAAGCTTCCCAGGAACCAGGCAAATTGGGATTGGCAGTATCAACATCAGCTCATGTTGGGTGGATCTGCTTTGCTCTGGGTGGTCTTTATGCGCTTCCTAGTGGGCAGCTTGTTTGGCTAAAGGCAGAGAAACAGCGCTTCAAGGATTTTGAAATTATCAGGAAGATAAGAAAAGATGAAAGAAAACGGACAGAGGAAAGTACTGTGCTTTAGGGTTTGGGCAAATTAACAAGACGTTAATTTAAAGAAAAGAGCAACGAGTAGGTTTGGGGAAGGGAGATTTTTGTATTTAAATGTATTCTTATAACATAAAAGAAATTCATTAGTTTTATATATGTAATACACCTACACATAAAAACATAGCTAATGTTTAGCAGGCATTTCCCATGTACAGAGGACATTTTTGTGTGTTATATGTTTTGTCTCATTTAACTCTCACAACAACCTTCTGAGGTCTATTCCAAATGTGTATATGAAATGATGCTCATGAGATGAGCCATAGCAAGGTTAAGCGACGTGCCCATGATTCTATCATCTGTAAATGGCAGTCAAGAGTAAACTCAGGCAGTTTCCCATCAGAGACTCTACCCTCTGTCACTCTACTGTACTGTATGGCCTCCTCACAGGATCTCTTTATAAACCACAGACTTTTTAAGATAGACTTCTAATATGGTATGGCACTGTGTCCCCACATAAATCTCATGTCAAATTTTAATGCCCAGTGTTGGAGGAGGGGCCTAGTGGAAGGTGGTTGAATCATGGTGGCAGACTTCCCTTTTGCTGTTCTCATGATAGTGAGTTCTCAAGAGATCTGATTGTTGTAATGTGTGTTGCACCTTCCCTTTCACTCTCTCTCTTCCTCCTGCTCCTGCTATGTAAAGATATGCCTAGTCCCCCTTTGGCCTTCTGACATGACAGAATGTTTCCTGAGTCATCCATGCTACCTGTACAGCCTACAGAACCAATTTTGAAGTTTATGCAGAACCAAAACCAATTTTCTGGGGAAGAATTCAAGCTGGCTGCATAAATTTGCATAAGTAAAGGGGAACTGAATGTTAATAGCCAAGACAATGGGGAAAATGCCTCCAAGGCGTTTCAGAGACCTTTACTGCAGCCCCTCCCATCACAGGCCAGGAGGCCCAGGAGGAAGAAATGCTTTCATGGGCTAGGCCCAGGGCCCCACTGCTCTGTGCAGCCTTGGGACATGGTGCCCTGTGTCCCAACTGTTCCAGCTCCAGCCATGGTTAAAAGGGCCCCAGACACATCTCAGGCCACTGCTACAGAGGCTGCAAGCCAGAAAACACCAAGATCTCCATGCGGTGTTAAGCCTTCAGGTGTGCAGAGGGCAAGAGTTGAGGCTTAAGAGCCGCCATCTAGGTTTCAGAGGCTGTATGGAAATGCCTAGAAGTCCAGGCAGAAATCTGCTGAAGAGGCAGTGTGCCTAGATGTCCAGGCTTAAGTCTGCTAAAGGGGCAGTGTGCTCATAGACAACCTCTAGTAGGGCAGTGTGGAAAGGAAATGTGCATTTGGAGCCCCCAGACAGAGTCCCCACTGGGGCACTGCTTAGTGGGGCTGGAAGAAGAGAGCCACCATCCTGCAATCCCAGAATGGTAGGTCCACCAACAGCTTGCACTACTCACATGGAAAAGCCACAGACACTCAATGCTAGCCTGTGAAAGCAGCTGCAGTGCCTGTACCCTGCAGAACCACAATGGTGAAGCTGCCCAGAAGATTATTTTGGAGATTTAAGATTTGGAGTTTTAAGATTAGCTCCAAAATTATCTACTTTGACTCCATGTCTCACATCCAGGCCACACTGATGCAACAGGTGAACTCTTAAGGCCCTGGGCAGTTTCACCCTCGCAGGCTGGCATTGCTGGGTTTCAGACTTGCATGTGGTCTGCTCTGCTGGGTTTCAAACTTGCATGGGGCCTGTAGTCCCTTTGTTTTGCCCAATTTATCCCTTTTGATCAAAAAAATTTACCCAATTCCTGTATCTTTATTGTACCTTGGAACTAACTAACTTGTTTTTTATTTTATAGGCTCAGAAGTGGAAGAGATGTGCCTTGACTCAGATGAGACTTTGGACTTGGACTTTTGAGTTAATTCTGGAATGAGTTAAAACTTTAGGGGACTGTTGGGAAGGCATTATTGTGTTTTAAATGTGAAAAGAACATGAGGTATGGGAGGGGTCAGGGGTGGAATGATATGGTTTGGCTCTGTGTCCCCACCCAAATCTCATGTCAAATTTTAATCCCCAGTGTTGGTGGAGGAGCCTAGTGAGAGGTGACTGAATCACAGGGGCAGACTTCCTCCTTGTTTCTCTTGTGATAGTGAGTGAGTTCTCATGAACTCTGGTTGTTGTAAAGTGTGTGGCACCTTTCCCTTCACTCTCTCTCTTCCTCCTGCTCTTGCCGTGAGAATAAGTGCATGCTTCCCCTCCTGCCATGGGAATAAGTGCATGCTTCCCCTCCTGCCATGAGAACAAGTGCATGCTTCTCCTTTTGCCTTCTACCATGTTTGAAAGTTTCCTGAAGCCTCTCCAGCCATGCTCCCTGTGCAGCCTGCAGAACTATGAGCCAATTAAACATGTTTTTGTATATAAATTACCCAATCTTAAGTAGTTCTTTATAGCAACACAAGAATAAACTCATACAACCCCCATTATCATTCAGCTAAATATGGTTGGGTTTTTGGAGCCTCAAGCATGAAGGTGAACTGGCTATGGCTATACCAGCCTGAAAGGATTGAACTCTCCCCTGGAATCCCAGAACAAATTCCTTCAACTGAAAATGTCTCTCCTGTCTCGAGGAGCAAGTCCCCACAAATTTATTTTCTCACTTTCATCCAAACTCTGATAATTCTGGAAAGAAGACCAAAGATTTGTCAATAACAGGCACTCTTAGGGCAGTGTCTGTTCCCTGAGCTGATCATAGGAGCATGTTGGGAAATTTCATCAAATGTAAAATCAAAGCCTTGTATTAGACTTAGCAAAAGTTAGCCGTTGGCAAATTGTGAAATTGGTTAAGTATGCCTGTGGCACCTTCCCACTTTCATAATTAATTTTTATGCCCTCCCACTTGGCTCTTATAACCCTACAAGTACAAATAATTGGTCATTTGTGTGACTTTCTGTTTATTGCATGTCTCTATTTAACTTGCTATAATTTGCATATGTGTGGAGACTACACTTGTCTTTTTGGCTACTATATCCTTCTGTCCCCTAATATTGTACCTGATTATGGAATACGCCAATTTATTAAATGAATAAAGTTTTTTTAAATATCTTGACCCCTTTTTGGAACATTATATAGCACAAAAATAATTGTTCAGTGACTGTACCTTAACTGAATGGATTGTATGAGTAATGGAAGTGGTTAAGATATGAATCACTCTGGGATTGCATTTCCACAAAACTTTTCCAAGACCTATCATAAGAGGGAGGGAAGAGTGAGACCTCCCAATACACTGTATATTTACAAGAACTGCAAAACTTTCAATGGTATGTTTCTTTACTTGTAGCAGGCTTTAGGTTTCAACCTGTTCTCTCTAATGCCTGCCACTGTCTACCTCATCTCTGTGACTTCTGTCTCCATGTAGTTGGCTGTGAAATAGGATGCAGTTTCTTCTTCTTCCCTTGCTATTTTTGTTTAATGGACACAAGTCCCTATTTAATCACCTGGAAAAGCTACCAGAAGGGGAAGAAAGCAAGCCACATTGAGAGTATACACTACTCTTACTAATATAATCTTAGGCCATTTGTACTGTTTTTGTTTCTGGGCCATATTGTAAACTCTTTGGTATGGAACAATAATAATCAAAATTGCTTACATGTATTGAGTACATGTTATTTATTATACTCATTTGACACTTTAAACTGTTTTGTCATTTAGTCTCAAAATGGTTTGGATTTACAAATGAGTACACTGAGGCTCAAAAAGGAGTAGGCCGTTTTCAAAGGTAACTCAGCTAGTAAGTGACAGAGATGGATCTGAAATCCAGGTCTCGATTATCCCAAAACTTTTGTTCTCACTGTCCAACGACTGATTTAAGACAAAACGTTGCTGGCTTCTAATTTCAAGTGAAAAAGTGTTATTTCTAAGGATGTCCAGAATGGATGAAATGTAATTTATTAAACTTCCCCTCTTACGTATTTTGGCAATTCTCTCTCATCTTTTTAGTATATGAAGCAGTGACTCAGAAAACAAATTCCCAGAGTGAATGAATACCTGTAGCCCCCTAGTGGCCTAAGAATGTTATCCACTTCACAGTGAACTGGGATAACTCAGAAGCATTTCCTCATCTGACTGCCTGTCTCCCTAAGAGAGACCTATGTAACAAAAGAATTTCTTTTTTTTTTTTTTTTTTACTTTAAGTTTTAGGGTACATGTGCACAACATGCAGGTTCGTTACATATGTATACATGTGCCATGTTGGTGTGCAAAAAATTTCTAAAAAGAAAAAAATTATATTTAGTAGAACTTGAGAGACATCATAACATCATAACCTTTTTTAGAGCATCTTTTTTTTTTCTTTTTTTTGAGACGGAGTCTCACTCTGTCGCCCAGGCTGGAGTGCAGTGGCGCGATCTCGGCTCACTGCAAGCTCCGCCTCCCGGGTTCACGCTATTCTCCTGCCTCAGCCTCCCGGTAGCTGGGACTACAGGCGCCAGCCACCACGCCCGGCTAATTTTTTGTATTTTTAGTAGAGACGCGGTTTCATAGTGTTAGTCAGGATGGTCTCGATTTCCTGACTTTGTGATCTGCCCGCCTCAGCCTCCCAAAGTGCTGGGATTACAAGCGTGAGCCACTGTGCCCGGCCTAGAGCATCTTTCTTTAAGTATCCATTGGTGGTATGTAAGCCCCCTCCTCAATTGTTTGCCACTGCACGCTCTTTCTGTGCTAAACAAAATCCATCCGATGAATAGAGAAGTGTGGGTTTGGGAAAATGCTAGGTTACCAACAATAAAAAAAGGTCTACTCAAATAATCAGAGTAGTAAGTGACAAGAAGAAGGCTTTAAATCAAATGTCCTCTCATTTATTGGTTCACCCTTTAAACACCTGTTGTATGAGAGTTTACTATGTGACAGGGACTGTATGACATTGTTGATTTAAAGACAAGAAGATTCAGTTAGTGTCATTAAGATGCTTACTGTCTAATGAGAAAGACGACATACCAGAAAAATCGTAACAATCTATGCTAAGTGCTATAAGGTACCCTGAAAATATAAAAGGGACATAGAAGGAAAAGCTCCTAAATTTGCCTGAAGCTATCAAAGAAGGTTACACTAATTAGATAAATTCTGTTATAAAACAAGACATTTGGAAAAGAGCTAGCCAGAAGCAGAGCTGGGCAGAGAGAACTCCAGGCCAAACCCAAATGCAGAAAGAAAAGAGTGTTGGTTGGAGAGTCACAGGTAGTTGGGTATTGCTGGTATACTTGTATTGCAAAATGTATTATCCTGAAATTTATGGAAAATACTTGAAGTCACTGGAATCATAATATTCCTTGCATTTTAGACTAATAGTCTGTCAGCAGTATTTCTATTGCGATGAAACGCAATAGAAAGTATTAGGGCGTGACCAAAGTCTGTAAAATTGGCTGTTAAGACAAAAGAGAGGGAAGAAGCTAAGGAGATAGAATATAATAATGTAACGAACAGCTATTGGTATGTTTTGATGGAGGCTTGGGAGCCTAAAGAAAATAATGAGTGACTGTGTCTCTTCTAATGTGAAACATGATAAACAGTGCTGTAACAGCCTTTGCCACCATCACCACTCCACCGCCAGCTTTTCCTTTTGCCAGGGCAGCTCATTCAGCCTCCAGCCCCTGAGAGTGGTCTGTATTGCTCATAGCTGCCACTCTTCCCCTAGAGCATTGTTCTCTGCTGATAAAAACCACTTAGCCCAAGAAGTTACACTCCTCCAATCTTCATGCTAAGGCCACCTTCAGTTCAATACTGCCTGATGTAGATGACAGACTCGCTTCAAGTTAGGACTAACACTGTGGTGTTCTTTGTCCTCTAAAGCAAATTCCGTGAGGTTATACAGTAGCCAGTATCTAGTTGAGTCCACGTTCTTCTTACTTAGCTTCTTACTTACTTAGCTCTTGACCTATTTTAATTCCCTCTTTCCAATTCTTTTGGTAGTATTTTCAGAAAAAAAAAATCACTTTGAAAACGATCTCTGTTTCTGGTTCTGCTTTTTGGGAACCCAGCTTAGACATCAGAAGTGACCTATCCCTCAATTTACACTTTGCCTTTCTTCCTCTTCAGCAAGTAGAAAATATATGAGAAAATGTGATAAGTAACAAATAAAGGAACATCAATCTTTGGAGAACATGCCATTCCGAGCATGAGGACTCTCAGGAACTGTTTCTGTTGCTGTCTTGATCCTCGATCCATCATTGTCCCAGTCAGCAACTCTGACCATGACTTTATCCATTTACTAAGCATCAACATGTCTGTTCAGTTGATGTGATTGTGACCCGTATTTCTGACTATATCTCAGCCTATCATGTACCTTGTTGCTGATAAACTTCTAAATCAGCCATGCCCTATGACACTGGCTGACCCTGTTCTCTGCCTATTAATCACACTTCTCTAAAAATTCTGCCTAAAACATGCCCTGACACAAATTGGTCCTTTGCTATTGTGTTTTGGGCTTAGGCCCCACAACACTGGCTTTCCAATGTTGTAACTAAGACTGCTTTCATTAAACAATGCGTTCCCACAGGAACATTCATTTAAACCCCATGTATTTGGTAGTTCCTCTCTTCTAGTCATGTGCTAACTGCTAGGGGTATAGAGATGAAACAGAATAAATAAATCTTGGTCCTTATTTGAAGTAAATATGAACACACACATACATACATACATATATATGTGTATATAAATACACACATATATATATATGGTGAAAAGATGGGCTGAAAAATGAATAAACCTATATTAGTAAACCTATACTAATTAAACCTACATAATTAAACTGATATTAATATACCAATATTGAGCAGCCAACATTTAAGAGTTTACTGGATGAGCATATGCTCTTCTTTAGTCATACTGCCTTTGGGTTCGAATCCTGACAAATATACTTTAATAAATATGATAGCAAATTATTTAGCCTCTCTCTGCTTCAGGTCCTCATTTTTAAGATTAAGATAATAAAGTGCTTAGGATTGTTTTAAAAATTTAGAAGATACTTAGGATAGTGTCTATTGTTGAGCAAGCACTCAATGATTGCTAGCTACTGATAATATCCATCATTTGTTAGTTTCCTTAGACATCATATCATTTAATCATGAACGGCCATACATAAAGACTACTGTTCTCCCATTTGACAAATGATGAAATAAACTTTCATAGAACTTACATGATAATATGAAAGGCTAAAATTCAAATCCAGGTCTCAGTTTGTACTATTTCCTCCAAAGGCAAGATGGACCTACAAACAAATAACGTCAGTATAATATCCTAAGTAATAGATACAGTTATCTATATAGTCCATAGGACAAATAGATATAACAATTAACTTTACCTGAGAAGCCGCCCAGAGGAAATGATAGTTGTCATGGGTGAAAAACAAGAAAATATGGGCCATTCCTCCTCATCTTTTTTGAAGGAGAAAGTAGGAATAGTATACACTTAAAATTTGGAGGATAAAATGAAAACCATCTAGGAAATATTGGTAATATCATCATTGCTTCCATACGGGAGAGTGTAAGGAGTGAAGCTGGAATAGTAGACATTATATACTAGAATAAGAATGGTGTATTAGCTAGAGTTCTCTAGAGGGACAGAACTAAGAGGATATATGTATATACGAAAGAGAGTTTATTAAGGAGAATTGACTCACACAGTCACAAAGTGAATTCCCATAATAGGCCATCTGCAAGCTGAGGAACAAGGAAGCTAGTAGTAGCTCAGTCCGAGTCCCAAAACCTCAAAAGTAGGGAAGACAACAGTTCAGCCTTTAGTCTGTAGCTGAAGGCCTGAGAGCCCCTGGCAGACCACTGGTGTATGTCCAAGAGTCCAAAATTAAAAAAAAAAAAACAAACTAAGTCTGATGTTTGAGGGTAGAAAGCATCCAGCACAGCAGAAAAATGAAGGCCTGAATACTCAGCAACTTAGCTCCTTCCACCTTCTTCTGCCTGCTTTTCTAGCCACGCTGGTAGCTGATTGAATGGTGCCCATCCACACTGAGGGCATGCATGTCTTTCCCCGTCGACTGACTCAAATGTCAATCTCTTTGGGCAATCTCCAGAAACACCCAGATACACCCAGAAATAACGCTTTGCATTCTTCAGTCCAATCAAATTGACACTTAATATTAACCATCACAGATGGGAAACATTTAAGAATTTTTGGCAGAGTAGTGAATGATCATATTGATTTATTAGAATAATTAGATCAAGAGCTGTTTGCCAAATGTTCTAGAAAAAGGTAAAACCAGCTTAGGGATACCTATTAGAAGTTTGCTTCTGCAGTCTAAGAACTATTGAAAGCAGGAGTACTTTAAGGGCAATGATGAGACAGAATAGGTATTTGAAGAAATCTAGAAGATGACGTAGAGACGATACTAAGAAATTTCTGGGAATACTACTGAGACGATAATTTTTATATGTTTTACCTAAAATTTCTTAAACTAGTTAGGTGGATTTTATGCTTCACATGAACATTACAATTTAAATAAATAAATGACTGTGATGGCCATGAAAATGTGCTTGCAGACCTCCAACTACAGGAAGCAAATCAATTGACAGCACCAGCTTCTCTGCTTTGAAACCTGTGGCTTCCTGAAGCAATGCTTCCAAAGGGCTATTCTCAGCCAGTGATTTGATATAGTAGGAAGACTAAGGCAGGCTCATGGCTGGGAGACGCCAAACTACTCCCGTAGACAACTTTGGCTCAAGGGCTCTCCAAAATTTTGCTGAACCTCCCTGAGACTGTCTGACAATCAGGACATTTCCTTCCAAGTTCCTCTCACTTTCTCCTTTATTTTGTATCAAATTGCATGCATCACAATCTGATGATCTCACGGAGCCTTCTTCTATTCTTTCTCAATTCCCCCCCCCACAGATTTGGGAGCCTCTTTCCATTGCTCCCTTTTCTTTCTAAGAGGAACGGAATTTAATGGAATGAACGACAACCCTTTTATTTATTTATTTATTTATTTTTTTGCAGCTGTTCCCCTCATCTTTCTTTTTACTATCCATTCTGAATTCCTCACATCTTCAGCTATCATGTCTGCTGGTCTTTGTGGTTTACGACCCACACCTTCATACCTGAAGGGACAGAACCTTTGATAGGCACACTGTTCTGTTTGGGGTTGTGGCACATGTCCATTTACAATTACAGTGGAACAAGGGAGTACTAGGGTGCTCCCATGAGGATCATCTGGGTTGCACAAATATTTCTCTTTGTTTCTATTTTGTAAAAGAGTCCCTACCCACCACTGATTGGGGTACATTATCCCTGACAGTATGGTGATTTCTGTTTTTTCATGCTTGCCCTTGGGTACAATGTGCCTTAACTTGTAGTTCACTGAGACTCTGGCTGTGTCTCTTGGTAGAAGTTTGTCCCTTTTAGGAATCAGAACCTACAATTCTGTAGAAACCAGAGTTGTGAAAAGGTGAATTCCACAGTGAATCACTGGGAGCTATGGTAAATGGAAACATTCCTGATTCCATATCTTGTATGCTGGATGTATGTTGTATGTGGGGTTTTTTGGGAAGTGGGACACAGCACCACACAGAAGTCTCCAATATAATAAACTTCATGCTGACAGGCAGCACTCCCTCCTTTCAGAGGGCTTCCTCTGAGCTGGTCTTTCAGCTGCACCTTTAGAAGGCTGTCCCAGCATTCCTGACGATGTTACCCATTGGATGATATAGCATGTGATATAACCAGCAGATTCCATTGTTTTGGGCCTATTGCCATAACTTTTTTGCTAACAAGTGGATCCCATAGTCAGATGCTGTGTTGTGTGGCATCCCATGCCTGTAGATCAGGAATTCTGTAAACCATGCATACCTGGAGCTTGTTGGCACACACACACACACACACATGCACACACTAAGTATCTGTCTCTTTGATAACAAACTACTGGGCTACTGACCAAAATAAAAGTGAGGCAATACAGTCCACTTGCCACAAACTGACCATTTGATCTTATCAATGGATAGTGCTATGTTGGTGGCTCAGCATTGGTGTTTGTTCTGATGGGTTTGGATATTCAGAAGGAGCCAAAGCTAGATTGGCCTTGGTAAATGGGAATCTACGCTGTCAGGCCCTTACATAATCTCAGTCTTTGCCACCTGAGCCACTCTTTTCTTGTGTCCATTTTGCCAATTTTGACAAAATTTGGCTTCTATCAAACAGCTGACAGCATTTTGTCTGCTTGCTTGTTCACTGACTTTTCCATGGTGGACAGTTTGTGCTTGGCATTAACATGTGATACAAAATCTTTACACTTTATGCCCATGCTGGTATGTCTATCTATATGCTTCCACATGAGACACTTAGGGCAGAAGGGTAGGATCAAGGCAGCGGTGACTGACAGGGATTCTTCTAGAAACACTTGCTATTAGGAGGAAGTTTTCATTGATATTGTGACAAAGAAGAGATTATCGAATAGCCATCTATACATAGCTAAATATTGGGATTCTGAAGGGGCTGGTGTAGCAGTGAAATCAGGTCTCCCCATGGAAATTATGAATTTATAAGAAAAAGAATACAAAGTACCAAATGTAAAATTAGATTAAAAATGTAATTATTTATTTACTTTGAGAAAAAAGTCTCAACCAATGAATGGGCCTAAAGAGTCAGATCCTTTTTATTTAGGGAATTTTTAAAGCATTTGCCAAAATTCTTACATAAGCAAAAATGTTGGGGGCAGGGAGTATAGGAGAAATCTCTGTACCCTCCATTCAACTTTGCTGTGATCCCAAAACTGCTCTAAAAATTGTCTACTGAAAATATTTATTTTCTGATTTTAACCTGGCTGCTGTCCCCAGCCGGAATACTCTATAATTCTCCCGTATCTCTCAAAACTCATAGAGCCCATGTAGGCCTGTGAAGGATCTCAAGTCTCAGGCATCATTAGCTTCACAGCATCTACTCCTAAGCTGGTGAGACCAACTACAGACCAACTACAGCTTGAGCTGGTACCAATGGTATCTCATCCATTGGTTTTTAAGTAGTATTGCTCAGTGATTTTCCTTCCTCTTTGGAATTTTTTTTTTTCTCTTAACTTTCTTTATCTAGCCACCAACTTTGGAGTTCTTTGAGGCTTGGGCCTAGTCCTACTTCTTATTCTGTACTCTCCCATTAGACATTTATATTTCACTTACCTGTTAATGCACACACAACTTACAAACTTATATTTCCAGACCAGATGCCTCCTCTGAGCAGCGCATCCAAATGCTATCAAATCTACATACAAAGGCCAGAGTGATCTTTAAAAAAATATAAATCTGATTAAATCACATCCCTGCTTAAATCTGGTCAATGTTTCCCCTTTCTCATAAGAAAGATAATAAATTATTCAGCAACGATTACAAAGCTGTGGATGGTCTGGTCCTCCCACTTTGTGAGCTCACTATTGTGAGCCTCATCTCACAATACGTTTTTATTCCGTCTACTTATGACGTAGAGTGGTCCCTTACACACACCATGTGCTTTTCTGCCATGTCCTTCACAGGTGCTAGAATACGGTTTCCCCTATTCTCAGGTGACTTCTCATTATTCTCAATATTTCAGTTCAATCATCATCTGGGAAAGTTTCCCCAGACCTCCTTATTAGATGTTATTACCTGATTAACCGTCCTTATAATGATGGCAGTTTTACACGTTTCATGGTTGTTTGCCATCTTTCCCACTATATGGTAAGCTGTATGGTAATAAGAAAATTTTTACTTTTGCTATTCTTGAATTATCAGTGCCTAGCACAGTCCTTGCCACCCAACACTCAATGTATATTCATTAATGAATGGATGAAATGTATGTAGTGCTGTTATTGATAATTTTTATGTGCAAGAAAGGTATATTTAAAATACTTGTTAGCTACCATCTTGGTATTTAAAAGATCTTGCCTTGAAGGTAATTTTAAAAGGCCTTTTTTTTTCCAGTAAAATAGGGCTCCTAAGGTCTAGTAAAATATGTTTGTGTATGTGTACAGAGTGGAATTCAGGGAGTAAACCGCATGAGCTAAATGTGTTATCTACCAATTTTCCTAATGGTAGTATTTGATCATAAATGTTGGTTGTCACTGTGGTCATCTGGTTAAATTTCTAAATATATTTGCTATACACATATCAGGTTCATTAGAGATGATTTGCTGATCTGTTTTACTTTAGGTAAATAGACATCTAGTGTTCCAAAACATGCAATTGAATTGATTTGGCAGACTGCTAAAAGAATACTTAACACATGTTTTCCCACCCAAGGGTATACAGTCTGAAGTCATATCATCAGCCAAATTGGATTCTTCGTGAAAAGCACAGGGGAAGCTGGTTCTATATTGGCTAGACTGGTGTTAAATGCAAGACTTATAGGAAAGTGAAGGGTGAGAATAGAAGTCAGTAAGAGAAGGATATGGGTTTGGTGTCTTCAACTATAGATTCCTATTATATTTTATAGAGTTTAACTACAATATCTCATCATTCTTTACAATAATACTACAGAAAATATTTTTATCCTAATTTATAAATGATGAAGCTGATGTTCAGTTATTAACTGGTGTTCAGGGACTATCTAAATAGGTGATATTCAGAAAATATTGGTGGCACCCGATTCCTACATTTTATCTTTTGTCCTTAAACGTCAAGGGAAGATTTCCTTCAATGTTGAAGGTTATGGTAAACACTGCACCATGGTGTTCTCATGTATCCATCCCTTTCTTTATCACATCATATTGTGATTATCATCCATCTGTATATCACAGTTGAGTGTACATTTTCCAAGACTCAGATTGTATCTTCCCTGTTCATCATTTTATCCTTTATTGGAAGAGCTTGGCTTTAAAAGGCTGCTGAACAAATGAATGTCTAAGAGAACTTGACATGAAATAATTTGGTTGAAATAATTAGTTATATTTCTAACCCCAAACCACACTTTGTCTTTCATATCATGTCTCTTAAAAGGTATCCTTATTATTATTCAGGTATGGTGAGGCCAACAGATCAGGAGATGATTACCATTAAAGAGTTTATTAATTTATTACTCATAATTCCCAAGAGGAGGCAGCATAGAGAGTCACCAGGGCAGTGTAGGAGGCAGAAGGTACAAAGGGAAATGTGAGCAAGGGGCTCTATTTTAGTTTTTGTAAGTAGTCAAGGCAAGGCAGGGTAAGCAGGTTTAGGATTGGTTAGTTTGAAAAAATTTTGCAGGTCCTGGCCCTAGAGTGTGTCCATACGTGTTTGGTATATGGTTGTGGGGTGATTAGGCCAGGTAGACAGAGACTCTGTGTGTATTAGTCCATTCCCATACTGCTATAAAGACATACCTGAGACTAGATAATTTATAAAGGAAAGAGTTTTAATTGACTCACAGCTCAACATGGCTGGGGAAGGCTCAGAAAACTTACAATCATGGTGGCCTGCAAAGGGGAAGCAAGGCACCTTCTTCATAAGGCGGCAGGAAGGAGGAGTGCTGAGTGAAGGGAGAAGAGCCCCTAATAAAACCATCAGATCTCATGAAAACTCTCTCGCTATCATGAGAACAGCACTGCAGAAACTGCACCCATGATTCAGTTACATCTACTTGGTTCCTCCCTTGGCACATGGGGATTATGGGGATTACGATTCAAGATGAGATTTGGGTGGGGACACAAAGCCTAAACATAGCACTATGTTTGGGAGCTCTGTAACAGCCCAGTAAAGAAGGTGGTTGGAGTATGGGCTTCAGGTTAGTTTGCATAAGAAAGGTGCACTTGCAGGCAGGTTTTTATTTTTTTCCTTGAGTTTACTCAATTTTTTTTTTTTTTTTGAGACAAGAGTCTCGCTCTGTCGCCCAGGCTGTAGTGCAGTGGCGCAATCTTGGCTCACTGCATCTCTGCCTCCCAGGTTCAAGCAATTCTCTGCCTCAGCCTCCTGAGTAGCTGGAAATATAGGCCCCTGCCACAATGCCTGGCTAATTTTTGTATTTTTAGTAGAGATGGGCTTTCACCATCTTGGCCAGGCTGGTTTGAACTCCTGACCTCGTGATCCACCTGCCTTGGCTTCCCAAAGTCCTGGGATTACAGGCATGAGCCGCCTCGCCCGGCCTATTTATTTATTTTTAAATTATTTCATTTTGTTTTTATTTTTTCAAATATAACTTTAATGAAACCATTTAAAATGGCTTGATGAACATCATTCTATAAATATATTTTATGTATAAGTACATGCATTTAATTTATTCTTGTTTTCTTTTTCTTAGTTTTTACTTTAGTTTGGGGGTACATGTGAAGGATTGTTACATAGATAAACATCTATAATAGGGGTTTGTTGTACATATTATTACATCATCCAGGTATTAAGCCCAGTACCAGATAATTATCTTTTCTGCTCCTTTACCTCGTCCTACACTATCTCTAGAAATTGGGTAGCCCTGCAAGGAGTAATCTTTTCAGAGTCAGTAAGGCCCAGATGTCAAAACATCAGAATAAGAAGACTTGCTTACTATACCATGTCAAAAATTAAGAGAAAAGAATGAGTGCTGAATTTAAGTACTGCATATGAAAAGCACTATAAAGTTGCTGTTATTCATATACTCAAGGATATACAAGAAGTCTTAGAGATGATGTTCCATCTTACTATATTCAGAGAGTATCAAATTTAAATATTTTCAGGAAAATTTCTTTTCTCCTCTGACATTATAATATACTTCAGTGTATCACAGCAACATCTTACATCCATTTATTGTATTTTGGATAAAGTTTGTATCTAGGTAGGAAACTTAATACTAACCCTGCTGTAAGTGAAGAGTAGATAGGCAGAGGTTAGGATCTGGGGAAGGTGGGATTACTAACATTCTAAGAAAGGATTGTGTTCATTCAAAAGAAGTGCTCTGTCATACTTCTTGCCATGAGGGTCACTGATGAAACAATACATGATTAAAAGACATGTTGTATTAAAGAATAAAATGTCAATAAATATTAACAGCAACAGATTTTGTTGGTCTTTTTTCACGACTTCTGTTCTCAGTAAAAATATTATTATCACTAAGCAAATATTTTCATGGCTCTCATGATCTGAGCAATCACTGAGCTCCCTAAAAAATTTAAGCAATGTTTTCCTCTTTATCTGGAAAAATCTTTCACTCTTTTTCTTTCTTTTGTATTTAGGTGAAATGTATGTATTTGTGTGAGTGCCTGCATGCATAAGTTTGTGTGCACTTGGTGAATGAGGCAAACACTATTGCCCCAATTTGTATTTTTCAGTTGTTTCTTGAAATCCAGAGTGAAATATGCTAAACTGATTTGTTTACCATTTTTAATATTTTGAAAAATGAATTTGAGATGGAAACTTGCAGGGAAGAATTTTAGTCTGACACAGTTGGAAATGTTTAAACACTCAACACAATGAAGTTCACAATGGAAAATCTGACAAATCTTTTACATTAGTAGCAATGTGAGGCTCTACTGAAATTACCAAACAGGCAGCAAATGCCATAATAAAAGCACAGTTTCTGGAAATTGTGGGGAGAAAGCCTGTAGCCACTCTTAGAGAATTATATCTCTAATTGTGTATTCCTACCTCAAAGGAGAGCCTGATTGTAACAGTGTGTTCCTCTATTGTAGTTTATCCATTTAGTTTGCAAATAGCCATGTTAGAGTAGCATTGTGCTTAAGGCTTGGAGTGCAGTGTTTTTTGTTGTAAAAGAAAAAAAAAGGAACATAAAGACCTTCTTTTAGCAATTTATGTTCCATGTCTTTGAGTTAGATGGCACATGATGAATGTTCGATTTCTTTTCACAGATAGTGAAACAAATTTGCTAAAAAGCAAATCAAAGAATGACTTCCCAATAAGAAAAAAAAGAGGAAAGAAAAACATGAGCCTTTTTGGTATTTTTGTTGTATATAAGCAGGATTTTTCTGAAACGCAATGAAATAACAAAAGTACCATCACAAGCACTGTCAATATCTTAAGTTGAAAATAGGAAAGCATATAGCCAGCAAAAACTCACTTTTAAAAACATTGTCACCATATAAAAGGTCTGGAAATATCTACTTAAGATCTAATGCATCTCAGATACATTAATTCATTATTTGCTTAAATATTTAGTGAAAGATTACTATGTGCCATGTGTTGTTCTGAGATACACAGTGAATACAAAAAGAACACATACTCCAGAGACATACATTTAAAAGCATTTCTCTCTTTGGGTAATTACTAATTAGTCAGCTCTAGAATGAAGCCGTTTGTAATGTTGTTATTTACTTCTTTATAGTGTCTTTTTCTTAGGTGGATTCGTGAGTGTGTGTGTGTATACATATACTTTTGTGTATGTGAGAGAGAATAATAGATGGGTGTGTCTGGCCAGGAGAAAGTAAGGATTTTTATTTAATAACTACAGATTTTGTAGCTACATATATTTAAAGAATAAAAGTTATAAGTGAGGATAAAATACATTTTAAATAATGGCTGGCTCAGTAAAAACTAGATCTTCTCCTCCTTGTTAGATCTGATATTTTCCATCCTCCGTTTTCATGATTCTGTTTCTTCTATACTGCAGTCAATCTCAAACATGACTGTCTAGCACAATCATCTGTGGAGATTTAAAAATTACTGATCTTGATCAAAGGGGGGTACTGATCCAAAAGTACCCCCATCCTGATAATTTGATTTAATTAGTCTGAAGTGAAAGCTGGCATGAGGAATTATAAAAGTTCCACTCATAAATCTCATATTTCACCAAGGTTTAAATCCACCTCTCAAAAACACCAGCTCTCAAAATGTGGTCCTTGCAGCTTCAACATCACTTGGATATTACTCAGAAATGCAAATTCCAACCTGGCACAGAGACTCATGCCTGTAATGCCAGCATTTTGGGAAGCCAAGGTGGGAGGATCACTTGAGCCCAGGAGTTTGAGAGCAGTTTGGGCAAAATGGTGAAACTCTGTCTCTATAAAAAATACAAAAAAGCTGGGTGAGGTGGTGTGCCTGTAGTCCCAGCTATCAGGAGGCTGAAGTGGGAGGATCACTTGAGCACTGGAGGCTGAGGCTCCTCAGGCTACACTGGGTCTTGGGTCAAGCCACTGCACTCTAGCATGAGCTGTACTCGAAAAAAAAATTTTAAAAAGTGCAAATTCTCATGTCTCACCCTAGACCTACAAAATCAGAAACTCTAAAGATAGGGCCTGTACTCTCCATTTTTCAAGCTCGCTAGATGATTCTGGAGCATGTGAATGTTCCAGCATTGTGGTAAGACTGAAAATTTAATTTGCTTTCCTAATCAAATCCCAGGTGATACTAATTCTACCTCTATGAACTACTATGAGAAATGCTACGAGAACTACTGCCTCATCCCAAGTCCCATCTTATTACTTCACGATACATCTGCTCACACTTGATGGAAAAGATTATTTAGGAAAAAATGTAACATCTGAATATCTGACACATTCAGCTAATGCAGAAAATCAATACTTTATTCTTAATGATATGTTCTTATCTGATGGTTTACTAGATGGGGGGGTAGGTAGTTTTAGAGTAGAAATCAAGTTTAAATTTATCTCCTACTAGCACAGATGTTTGATTTGGAATATAGATTGGTTTAGTTGTTAGTCTCTTGCAGGCAGGAATAAATATTCAGGTATTGGAGCCACAGAAAATGCACCTGACTCAGAGCCAGCTTTTTGTTTGGCTTCAAGGTAACTCCCAAGTTTTGCCAGACATACTGACCACCTGTGAAATATTTGATCAATCTGCTGATCCAGCTGCGGTCTCTCTGTGCTATAAATTCCAGCTCTCCTATA